>NC_000020.11:8702698-8854213 GCF_000001405.40 Homo sapiens
CAATTTTGGCTTGATAAAGAGCAATGGAGCATTACCGTACTTTCACATCCAATGTCCACCAATTACAGCAAGTATGAAAGAATGTAACTTAAAAGCTATAACTGGTTTTCTCATCCTAACTGATCACGCACACCATACAAAATATTTCAAAGGCACAAAAGCATGAAAGTTCTCCAGTGGAACTTCTGAAGTTTTCAGTTGCTCCCAACTAAAATTATTAGATGAAATTTAGTAATTTTTTTTGCTTTAATAATTGGAAAATTTTCCTAAGCTGCTAGCTAAAGTTATGGTAGAGATGGGGAGAGGTGGACAGAGAGAGGAGGGAGAAGGATGGGTGAGAAAGAGAGAAAGGTGAACACAGAAGGTAAGGATGCTACTCTGGAGATGACTGCCAGGGGTCCAGTACAAGCTCTTCCATTTAGTCACTGCAAGACCTTGGAGAAGCTTCCTTCCCAGTGCAAGTCTCCTTTGTTATCAGCAAACTGGAGATGATAATAGTGCTTACCTCCTAGGGTGGTTGTAAGTAAGCATTCAATAACCCTACTTAATACACAAATATTGCTTAAACTATGCATGGCATGCAGTGCCTACTCTATAAATGTTAGCTTTGGATGTTATCATTGAAATTCATAAAAGCCAAATGTTAGCTTTCTTTCTGTAAATATAATGGTTGTGTGTTACATAGGCATGGACTTATTAAGCCAGAGTGAAGGTGGGGGGCTAAATTAAGTCATCTGTAAGGCTAACATGGTAGAAGGTGTGGGCATCCTCTACGCTCAACCCATGGCATCCACTTCACCTCCAGGAAGGTACCAGAAGCCCAAATTGTAGTAAACTAAACACAGCCCAGGCCTTGGTTAGGGGCCCAGTAGGAGCAGAGAAGGGAACAGCAGATGAGCTTGGATGCTCCACTGCAAACATGAGTCCTAAGCCAAGCACACAAGATCAGAAGTACACAATGTCAGAGGCAGGACAAATGGAAAAGCAGGGGAAACAACACAGGAAGATCTAGGAACCCCAGTGGCCCAGCTGTAGTTCAGACCACACTAGCATCCCCACTGTGGGAAGAGAGAATGAAACCCAGGGAGCCAGGAAGATGGGGGGCATGGACTCCCTACAAGTCTAAGAGGCCCAGAGAAACACTCACATTTTATCAACCAAAGGAAGATACGAGAGAGATTTGACCTGGAGCTAAATACCCACTTCCTAAATTAGAGGAGGGGAGGAGGGGTCTTACCCACCTTCAGATTTGACTCTCCTTGGCCGAAATACCAATGAGGTGAGCCTACAATCCACTTTCATTATTAAAGGCAGCTGGAGAAGTTCTCAAACAGACAATGAAGACAGCCATCATCAGAAAAGTTAGCAAAGATGGCCAGGCGCAGTGGCTCATGCCTATAATCCCAGCACTTTGGGAGGCTGAAGCAGGCAGATAACTTGAGGTCAGAAGTTCGAAACCAGCCTGGTCAACATGGCAAAACCCCATCTCTACTAAAAATACAAAAAATTGTCTGGGTGTGGTGGTACATGCCTGTAGTCCCAGCTGCCTGGGAGCTGAGGCACAAGAATCGCCCAAACCAAGGAGGCAGAGGTTACAGTGAGCCAAGATCATGCTACAGCACTCCAGCCTGGGCAACAGAGCAAGACTTCGTTTCAAAAAAAAAAAAAGAAAAGAAAAGTTAGCAAAGACTAATTACACTTTTATTTACATGTGTATTTGCAGGACTTTTGTAATGTTTATTGGAAATTTCAGCCATGAAGTTGTTAAAAAGTTAATCTGGCTATTAAGTATGAATCAACATTCAATCTTCTGTAATACAAAATTACATTTATCTTTGGTTACAATCAAGTTTTAAGCTTTGCTTAAGCCAATGATCAGACTAGTCCAAGGGTCAACAAACTATCTTCTGCAGACCACATTTATCCTGTCATCTGCTTTTGTGAATTAAGCTTTATTGGGACACAGCCACATCCAATTGTTTACATATTATCTGTGGCTGCTTTGGGGCTATGCATTAGTCTGGACTGTCTCTATCTCTAGAGAGACAGAGTTATTAAAAGGAACTGGCTTATGTGGTTATGGAGGCTGAGAAATCCCAAGATCTGCAGTTGGCAAGCTGGAGACCCAGCTGACCTAATGGCACAATATCAGTCCCAATCCAAAGGCCTAAGAATAAGGAGAGCTAATGGTGTAAGCTGCAGTCCAAGTCCAAGTCTCAAGGTAGGAGAAGACCAATGTCCCAGCTCAAAAACAGTCAGGCAGAAACAGCAAATTCTCCTTTACTCTTTTTTTTTTTTTCCTATTCAGGCTTCCAGTGCGTTGAATGAGGCCCATCCACATTAGGGAGGGCAGGCTGCTTAACTCGGTCTACCAATTCAAATGTTAATCTCATCCAGAAACCCCTCACAGAGACACCCAGAAGAATGTTTAACGAAATATCTGGGCACCCCATGACCCAGTCAAGTTGACACATAAAATTAATCATCACGAGCTACAAAGGCAGAGTTGAACAGTTGCCATAGAAATAGAAACTATATGGCCAGCAAAGCCTAAAATGCTACCTGGTCCTTTATGAAAAAATGTATGCTGACCTCTGAGCTAGTCAATAGAAGAATAAATGGGAACACAACTAGATAAATTCTGTTTCTCTTCTGTCATATATTAGGAGTTCATTCATTCATTTGAAAGTATTTCCTGAGCATCTAGAATGTGCCTTAGCAGAACAGTGAAGAAAACAAGTTCTTACCTCAAGAAGTTTACACTGTCTAGTGAGGAAAGATAGATCAAAATAAACACAAAGATACGGTACATAGAAACATGCCCTTTAAAGCAATCTAAATCAGTGGGCAAGGAAAAGAGAGACCTGAATTATGCTGTCTGGATGGTAGAGGCAGGCCTTTGGTAAGGTGATGTTTAGGCACAGGTGCTGTACTTACTCCCAAATCAATGCAGTAAATCATGCTTTAATGTGAGTATTTTTGACTGAAGGAACAAAGTGCAAAGATGGTGAGATGAAAGCATGCTTGATGTATTCAAGGAAAAGCAACAAGATCAATGGACTGTATCCAGGTGACAGAGAGGGAGAGGAAAAAGAGATGTATTTAAAGAAATGGCAGGTGCCAGATCAAGTTAGGCTGTGTAGATTATGATAATGAATTTGGATTTCATTCCATGTGAAATGGGAGGTCATTGGAAAGTTTATAGAAAGGAGCGAAACTGTCTACTCATGTTTAGGAGCAATGACTCTGGCTATGGTGTGGAATACAGCGGCAAGTACTAGAAGCCAGGAAAGCAATAAAAAGACTGTCAGTCAGCTTCTCCTAGGTTTTGCTGCAATAAGAAGAAACCCTAGGATCACAGTGATTTACAACCACAACGGTTTACTTCTCACACAGGTTAGATGTCAGCTGTTGCTCTGATTGCTATTGTTTGGAATTCATGTTGAAAGAACAACCCACATCTATGATATCACTGGACTCATGGGAGAAGAGAAAGAGAAATGGCTGGACAACAACATGATGGGTCTTTAAGACTCTACTCAGCAGCAGCACATGTCATTTTCATACACAGGCCCTTGGCCAAAATAAAACCACGGCCAAGCCTATGGTCAACAGGGTGTGTAGACAGAATTCTCCCAAAGGAAGGGGGAAGCAAATACGTGGGAATGGTGATAAAATCTACCACAGCAGTCACTGCAGTGGTTTTTGTATCAGGATGATAGCAGTGGAGGTGCTGACACTTGACTGTACTCGGGACCTATTTTGGACAAGATTGCTGATGAATTGAAAGGTGTGAGAGAAGGAGAGGAGGCGAGAATGGCTCTACTGTATTTATCCTTTACCTGATACACTAGTGCCAAATTTATGAAATAAACAAAATCCAGCCCTTTTTTTCCACACTTAGCATCCACATCCTTGATGACCTCTATTCTCAGTTCTTTTGAGGGCTTTGCTCTTAGCTGGCTAAGATTATTAGCTGCATGGAAGTTACTGCAATGGTTGGGTATTAATAAGCTCTAGAGTCAGACAAATCTTCCTGGGGTTTAATCTTGGATTCTCTTCTCTATGACTTAAGGTAAGTCAGTTAATATCTCTGCACCTTAGTTGAATCAAGAATAGATAACCATCATGAGCTGAGTCCTTTGCCTTCTCTTGCTGCATCTTCACAACAGATCTGTGAAGTGAGGTTTATTGCACTTTATAGATTAGCAAACCAATACACAGAGGCATTAAGTGATTTTCCCAAGGTCACACAGCTTGCAAATCTCAGAGGCAAGGATTCAAAAGTCGGTTTGAATCCAAAGCCTATACTCAAATAAATCAAATATAGCATTTAAAATCTGGATGTTGCTTGCCTTTTATAGTGCTTGCTTTTTTTGACAGACTCAACTATCGTAAAAGTTAAACTGATTATGTATGAAAGATAATCTGTGAGTTCATTTCTAAGAAACAGTAAAAGTGATTCTTCTCGCTCCATGCAGGCAAATCCTTCTTAGAGGATATATGCAAATGTAGTACAGAATTAGAAAGCCTTACTTATACTCTGGGGCCAGGGAAATAGCTTTCAGGAGTGGATATAAAGAACGCTATATATTGAATGGGGAAGGTAGAGACGATAGCAGAAAAGGCTCAGGCATAAAGAATAGGAGTGGAAATCCCTATTTAAAAGGAGAATATGAAAAAAATAAATGTAACTAAAAACAAGTGTATGGGAATATGCAACCTCACTACTACTGAAAGTGATATAATTAAACAATAAATGAGACTGCACTTTACTACCAGTTAAATAAGAAAAACATTTTTAAGAATAATGCCCAAAACTGGTGAATATGCATTGAAATCTGGTCCTGCATGCATTACTCTGGGCAATCTAAAGTGAAAAGTAATTTGAAATACATGAGGGACTGTAAGAGTATTCATATTCTTAAATCAAGAATTCCCCTTCTGAGAATTCATTCCCAGAAAATCAATCAAGATATTAGGGAAAAAATGAAGCTGTTCTCTGTAGAATTATTTGAATGACAGCTCTGAAAATGTAGCTGTCCAACAGTTGGGGAATGGTTAAATCAATTTTAATACCTTTACTTTCTAGAATTTTGTACATATATTGAAACTTGTGACATATACATTTTTAAAAATGCAGATTGAAAATTGAAGTACTGATACATGTTACAACATGGATGAACTTTGAAACCATGCTAAGTGAAAGGTGGTCGGCACAAACAACCATATATTGTATGGTTACATTTATATGAAATAATTAGAATAGGCAAATCTATGAATACATAAAGTGATGAATGATTGCCTGGGACTAGGTGTGTGGGGTGGGGTGCAGGAATGAGGAGTGACTGCTAGTGGGTACATGGTTTCTTTTTGAGGCGATAAAAATGTTCTAACTTATATTGGGATGGTGCTCGCATGACTCTCTGAATATACTAAAAACCATTGAACTGTACACTTTCAATGGGCAGATTATATCTCAAAAAAGTCACATCTCAATAACAAAGCTTTTTAAAAATACAAGTTGAGTATATACTGTAATTAAAACTAAGCTACATAAATACATGAGAGACAGACTAGAAGTGAATATAATGAAATGCTAACAATGGTTTGGTTCAGAAAGTGGATTTGTGGGTGAAAATTTTTGCCTTCTCTTACTGTCCCAAATGTTTATAATATGATTAGATTTCTTTGATTATTAAAAAATAGATACAATTAGCAAACAGGAGAATCCTCTCCTTTGCATTTCTCTCTCCCCTCCACCAAAATCCAATCTTCTTATAACTTTCCAGAATCAAGAGTCAGAATTAGCACCGTCCAGCAGCCCTCAAAATCCCTTCTAGCCATTTCAGGCCATTCGATACAATTCTCTGAATGGAAAAGACAACTATATTAATAGATTTAATACCTTTCAAGAATATACAGATGAAAAATTCTGGCATACTGAATATACATGTGTTCTCATTTTTAGGAAGTGATAGAAGCAATTGCGGAGTGTGCATTTAAGACTTCACCTTTTCCAATTCTCCTTTCGTTTGAGAACCATGTGGATTCGTAAGTATTCAACACATTCAGGAATGAGTCTTTTTCCCGAATAGGGCATACTGAGTAATTGTTTATCAGATTTAAGATTATTTGACATGATTAATGGTGTTCTTCAATCATGTTGTATATTAACTGGCATGTTTTCATTTGTAGGTGATGGAATTCACTTAAAATAATCAACATTAAAATTATCCGTTGGACTTGTAGGATCTATTTTCATACCATAGTATGGTTTTTAAATTAAAAACTCTTCTTTTTGCAATGCAGTGGAACACATTTTTCTACACAATACATGTCTCTGTTATAGATTTGGGGTGCTGTGGGCCACTTTTATAACCCTTCTTCATTAGCTCCTTCTATTGCACACAATTTGAGTCCACTTCATCACTTTGTGGCAGGTGGGGGGAGAGCTGTGAATTCCATTTTACCAATTTGCACTTACACAGAACTCAGTTCAGCAAATCTCCATATTCCCCCTTTTCACTGGCTTTCCCCTGTTTGTTAATATTTGTATTTGCCAATTTCAAAATAGCCTGCATGTATTGCTGAGCTACACAAAGAAAAGGTTATTTTGACTTCACTGTTTTATATTCATTTTATCACACATTACCAAAGAGAGACACATTTATATCTAATAGATGTATATTAGTTTATCATGTAGTTACTTTAAAGAGCTTCAGAATGAAAGATTCTTATCCATATTGAATGAAAGCCTCTCTTTCATTTCAGGAACCTAAGCCAGATTTTTCAACTAAAAGCCAGCAGCACCTGTCCTAATTTGGATTACGAGTTTCTTTTTACCCTCCTTCCTATTGGGAGTCTTTCCCAGGTCACTGAGCCTCTTTGTCCAAGTAATTTGTAACATGTGCTTCAATTCTCTAATTCTTAAAGAGTTCACTAGATCTTAAAGATGCAGATTGGTCATGGGCAAATTTCAACTTGAAGAATTTCTAAGTAGTTAAATGTGACAATTTTATAATTATCTGTATTTTTTCAGTTTGCCCGCCAGAAATCCATATTATATTTACCGGCTTGTGGTTCTGCTTCATTATGCAACAATCATCCAATGAATGATGTAATCCTTTGGCACATAGTTTCTCCAACGCTTCTGAGGGTCAAAGGAAGAGAAAGGAATTTATTCTGTTCCATGCTATTTCTGTTCTTACTCAAAGGGGCATCTCTAGAAGCAGTATTTAATACCTAGTTTGCTTTGCAACTAGGTTCTGCTTTGCAATTGACTCTGTTAAACAATTTCTCATCTCTGTCAATTCATTTATAATTGGCCTGTAACAATACGTATGAGTCCATTCTTGTACTGCTATAAAGAAATGCCTGGGTAAGAGACTGGGTAATTTATGAAGAAAAGAGGTTTAATTGGCTCACAGTTCCACAGGCTGTACAGGAAGCATGGTGGCATCTGCTCCTGGGGAGTCCTCAGAGAGCTTTTTACTCACGGGAAGACAGAGTGGGAGCAGGTGTCTTACATGGCAGGAGGAGAACTAAGAGAGAGTGGGGAGGTGTCACACACTTTTAAACAACCAGATCTCATGAGAACTCACTATCGCAACAACAGTACCAAGGGGAATGGTGTTACACCATAAGAAATCTCCCCCATGATCCAATCACCTCCCACCAGGCCCCACTTCCAACATCGGGGGTTACAATTTGACATGAGATTTGGGCAGGGATGCAGATTCAAACCATATCACAATACTTGAGCACTTTTCTTTCAGGTATTATAGTTTCGACTTGAGGATGCTTTTTTTTTTTTTTTTTTTTTTTTTTTCTGAAGCGGAGTTTCACTCTTGTTGCCCAGGCTGGAGTGCCATGGCACAATCCTGGTTCACTGCAACCTCCATCTCCCGAGTTCAAGCAATTCTCCTGCCTCAGCCTTCCGAGTAGCTGGGATTACAGGCATGCACCACCATGCTCAGCTAATTTTGTATTTTTAGTAGACACGGGGATTCTCCATGTTGGTCAGGCTAGTCTCGAACTCCCGACCTCAGGTGATCCGCCCACCTCGGCCTCCCAAAGTGCTGGGATTGGCATACTTATGTTCTTAAAGAGAAGTTTCTATTTAAATTAGACAAAATGAAAGGCTATGGTTCCATTCTATATTGTCACACCTGCTACACTGAGCTTCCCCTTGGCATAGCCAGAAAAATATCAACCGCCACCACCACCACCAACATAATAGCTAACCTTTATTAATAGCGAACATTTATTAAACATTTTTTGTGCCAAGCAGTTTTTGAAATATTTTACATGCCTCAGCTCATGTAAGCCTTACCACAAACCCAGGTGCTTCTAAGAGTAAATATTATGATTATCGCCATTTTACAGATGATGGAACTGAGTCCTAAAGAGGATGAATAACTTGCTCAAGGCCATGTAACTAAAACATGACAGAGATGGGATTCCAATCCAGTTAGTGTGGCTTCAAAATGCACACTTTTAACCAACACATCTCCTACGCCTAAACAGAAGCATCAGGAGCCTTCAAAACATCAAATTCAGACAACGAGAGCATCCACCAGGCAATGGCCAGCAAATGTTTGCCTCTGTGGCTTGTAACCCTTAAACACAAGATGTGTTTTGCAGTTCTTCACACTAGTCATTTAGAGATCAAAAACTGGACATGAAAACTAATTTCTGCACTGTGCCTAAAGGCAAAGAGACTAGTGCCATTGTACTGCCCTTATGGGCTTAAAAATGATAAATTTAGCTATTAAAAGTTCATTAATAATTTCTATGTGACAAAAGAAAACAGGAAAACAGCCTTTCCAGGATGCCATGATTGTGTCCCAAGCCACTGAGATAATGTAATGGCAGTGAAATACTAAAAGATAAAATTCTATTGTGGAGGAAGTGGGTGGGAGTTGCTTGCTTCATATTTCCCTTGTCCTTCAGATATCAAAATTGTTCAGCCACCATTCTTTCCTGGGAGGCTAGCACACACCCAAAGAAAACCGATAAGCTTTCCCTTCGCTGGTAAAACCCCGTGCTTGACTTGTGAGCCACTTCATCTAGTTCCTGAGCCCATGGTAGGCAGTAGCAGCACTCTTTCCCACTAACCCTAGAAATAACCTCAGAATCCTTCTCAACACAGTGACCTCAGACTAGACCAGCAAGACATCTGACACCTATTTGCCATCTCTGATGAACTATTTTATTTCCCTGTGTGCTGCATGTATGGAATTTCAGATTCAGAACTCTGGTCCCAGCTCACTTGGGCCACACGTCCAAAACAAATTTATACTAGAAAAAAGGAGAAAAGGACAGGGCACGGTGGCTCACGCCTGTAATCCCAGCACTTTGGGAGGCCGAGACTGGTGGATCATGAGGTCAGGAGATCGAGACCATCCTGGCCAACATTGTGAAATCCAGTCTCTACTACAAATACAAAACAGGTGTTATGGCGGGTGCCTACAGTCCCAGTTACTCAGGAGGCTGAGGCAGGAGAATCGCTTGAACCTGGGAGGCAGAGGCTGCAGTGAGCTGAGATCACGCCACTGCACTCCAGCCTGGGTGACAGAGTGAGACTTTGTCTCAAAAAAACTAAATTAATTAAAAAAGAAAGAAAAAATGAGAAAAGCCACTGAAACTTCTGGTTTTCTCTCCCAATATCTGAAGTCACCTATCCATAGACAATAAAAGGGAATCTGCTATTAGCTGCTTTCAATGTATCCTGTTGCTACATCAGAATCCCATGAAGTGTCTTCAAAATGCAGATTCCTGAGCTACACCCTTACCCTGACTGAGAATTTCTAGAAATAAGACTTGAAAATATATTTTTAAAAGCCCTACTTGACTCTGACATCCTACTTGTGAACTAACACTTTTATAAAAAGAATTCTACACCAAATTCAATGGAAGTAATCTTTACCCATGTTCAGCCACAGAAAGCTGTGAAATTTTGAACAAGGTTCTTAATTTCCATGGATTGCAGATTCCTCCTTTATAGGGAAAGAGGTTGGTTTAGTTCAAACTGGAGGATTTGCTCCCAAGAAATCAAGTGAGTTCCTCGGTCAGAAAAACTGACCTCTGCCCCAGACGCTCACACCTTGGGAGTATTTTATTATGCTCAGAAATGTCTGCTATGACCTGAAGCTCAAAATGCATTTGTGATTTTTTTTCCCTCTCACTTTGTCCCCATGGTAGCTGATATTGATGCTCTAAACACTTCAGGATTTTGTTTTTTGCTAATTGCAATTTTAATGCCTTTTATTTCTGCAGTTCTGACCTGCAATTAAAGTTGGTTTGTTTTCCTCTGACTTTTTCAATTCAATTTGCTCTCTGCTCTGATTTAGTTCCATCAGGTGGGTGTGCATGTTTATTGAGAACATGAATAGCCTGATTACCAAATAGCTCATTTTACTTTTTGCTAGGACACCTACCTCTTGTTCTGTCCATCTCAGTTGATTCTGAGGCAGGTTTTGTTTTTGTTTTTGTTTGTTTGTTTGGTTTGAGGGTCTCACTCTGTCACCCAGGCAGGAGTGCAGTGGTGCAATCTCGGCTTACTGCAACCTCCACCTCCCAGATTCAAGCGATTCTCCTGCCTCCTAAGTAGCTGGTATTACAGGCACGCACCACCACAACTGGCAAACTTTTGCATTTTTAGTAGAGACAGGATTTCACCATGTTGGCCAGGCCGATCTCGAACTCCTGACCTCAGGTGATCTGCCTGCCTCGGCATCCCAAAGGGCTGGGATTACAGACGTGAGCCACCATACCCAGCCCTCAGGCAGGTTCTAAACGT
Source organism: Homo sapiens (assembly GCF_000001405.40). Lineage (NCBI taxonomy): Eukaryota > Metazoa > Chordata > Mammalia > Primates > Hominidae > Homo > Homo sapiens. Next base: position 8,713,503 of record NC_000020.11, read on the forward strand.
CTACATTAGACATAGATTCTTGTTCTTAAAAGTGTGGTCCTCAGACCAGCAGCATCTGCATCACTGGAGAGCAAGTTAGAGCTGCAGCTGAGTCCTGTACCCCACCCTGGACTCTGTGTTGGACTCTTCATTTTAATAAGACCCCAGGTAACGTGAATGAAATAGAAGAGCTAAGCTGTAACCACCATGGTTTATTAACCACCTGCATCAGAATTATCTGCAGTCTGGCTTAAAATGCATGTTCCGGGGCTTTGGTCCCAGCTACATGAATCAGGGGACTGTGGACTTGATCCTGTCACCTGCAGCATTAACAGCTCAGGTGATTCCTTAGTGGAATTGAGTGATAATCATGGCTCCAGTAAAATCTTTATCTGGGCCTGATTTGGGGACTTCCTGACAGAGGACACCTGTTTGGGGATATTTGGGACATCTCCCTTAAATTCCTCTAATGGAAAGAATATGGTTCCCTGGAAAATCCTGAGAGCAGGGCATTCAGGTAAAATGCCCTGCTTTCACTCCAGGTGTTTGATCAAAGATAATTCGGGGCTCCCAATTTCCAACAGTCAGGAAAAATGTCATCTACTTTGGCACATGCTGACTTACCTTAATCAATCGCAGTGGTTTTCAAGCTTGAACACACACCAGAATCAAGAGGGCTTGTTATGATGCAGACTCCTGGACTCCACTGTCCCGGAGTCTCTGATTCAGAATCTGCATTTCTAACAAGCTCCTGGTGTGATTCTGCTGATGGTTCAGGGGCCACACTTGGAGAAGTAAAGCTCCATGATACTGAGTAGCATCTTTCTGTGAAAGGGAAATGGAGGGTTTGGCCATTTCTTTAGTGCACTCTGGAACATGTCGTCCCAGCACAACTGTACTTCTTATCAGCAGCAGCCACAGAGCAGGCTGACCTGGTAGAACCCCTGTGCAAGTTATCACTGGAGGAAGAAGACTTGAACCCAGGGATGCCCGGGGCTGGCCCTACCAAATCAGCCACTTCTCTGCCTGCTCCCAAAGGTCTCATAGACACAGTTTCTAATGACTTGTCCTTCAGCAACGACCTCCAATGCTTTTCAGGATCAATTCTCTGATTAGCAGTTTTTCTTCTCTCCCTAATACTGCTGAGGAATGTGGCAGTGTATTCTGATGGCCGCATAAGCCATTTAGTAAGCTCCCATACAGACCAAGAGAGGCCTGGTGAGAAGGGGCACGGTTGCTGTGGAGGACTTTGCAAATCCTTTGAATCTCTCCTTAGCCTCTCCCTGCAGTTCCAAGAAAGCAGTGACTTTGGGGTTTCATATTCAAATGCCAGAGAACTCACTTTCCACCCAAAGCACACACTTGGTTTTTTAAAAAGAAAAAAATGAATACAAAATAGTGACTTTTCCTGTGGACCATTTCAATATGATTTGAACCGTCAATACCAACCCCCTAACCCCAGTAAAAAAAAAAAAAGCCCATGATCCAGGCTTAAACATTCATGGAAAAGGGAATGAAAATAAGAATAAGAATCACATTTTATGATCAATTTGAATTTTCGTCAAGAAGGATTTTCATCGCTGTTACTTATTCTTAGTACAGTCACAGTCCTGCTAAAATGTATTATCATTGCAGCATGTAGAGATAACTATTGGAAATCAAGTTCGACAGACTGTAGATCAAATTCAAAATCCATAAAACCCAAAGGAACTGGATAACTTTGTAATGATATTTAACATTCCACGAAATGAGAAAAAAAATTATTGCTTTTTGAAAGGTCAAGGGAAGCAGTAGCATTGAAACAATATGAATGTTCCCCTATATCAGCTGTGTTTACAAGTTACTGGGCGTAGGATTTGTCTAGTCTAGCTGGCGGACGCCGCCTTGTAACAGTGGAATCATCTTACATTTGCCCTGCTCTTTTAATGTTTCAAAGGCGTTTGCATCCATTACTTCATTTCATCTTCTCAGCACCCTCTGTCCCTTTCCAAGAACGGTTATTATTCTCCTCATTTTATAGACCCAGAGTGGTTCAGACCCTGTCGCTCAGCTCAGCAAACCCTGCAGTGCCAGCCTTTTTCCATTATACCAGGTCCCTACTGGCAATATATTCAGAATGATACCACCTTTGCTATTCTGTTATGTATATATGAGTTGCACACACCTTTCCCCAAGGTGCCTGCTACTTTTATCTTTCCTCCAGGACCCCCTCCCCAAGTGGACACACTGTTTGCCTGTCTGCCCTTTTCTACATTTTGAGATTCTCTCCCTCTCTTTTTCTCTCTCCGTTGTCTCTCTTTCCCTATTCAGCTCCCTCCCTGCCATCCTTCCTTATCTATCCTCTTTCATCTCCTCATAAACACTCCTTTGCAGCAGTGGTTTACAAATTTCACTTGATAATTTACATGGAAATATGAAAGGGTTCTTTCTCCAAGTGTCTTGCAATTGACTTGGAATCAGCGAGTTAAACAAAAGGGACTGAGCCTCTAACTCTGGGAATTTCAAGGCTCCAGTTACAGCAAATGACATGCTGTCCCCTCCACCTATGTCTATGCAGGTCTGCCTTGGGAACCACCTCACACATCAGTGCCTTCGCTGTCCATCTGTGTATGTTATTCAAATTCACATAAGTTAAGATAAAGATCCAGGATGATAAAAACCAATCCTGATGGGTGGGATTAGAGAATTACTTCTTTCTGTAGTTAATAACACAAAGCAATCCTGTTCAGGTTCTTTGGATAAGCCTCCCTACTTTCCTTCTTCTGTTCTTGTTCTCCCTTAGCCCAAAGCAGCAAGCCAAGATGGCGGAGTACTGCCGACTGATCTTTGGGGATGCCCTTCTCATGGAGCCCCTGGAAAAATATCCAGTAAGCAGTTCTGATGTTTGTCCTTGAAGGAATGTATGCATTATTGATGAATGAGGTTGAGGGAAAACTTACTTCCTTTTCATATTTATGTTTCTTGGTAAGATTAATGCAGTTGGTGATGAAATCTTTGACAAGGAGGATACCAGCAATGGGCCCCACTAAGGGTAGAGGAATGCCTCTGCACTCTTCCTCTTCCCACACTCTTCTCTCTCGCTGGCTGCCTGATGAAACTCAATCAAGAGTGCAGATTTCCCAACAATTACAATCAGCCCATAGAGACAGTCCAAGAGGACAGGCCTCTGCTCACTCCCAGGGAACCTCGTCACACCTCTTTGAGATGAATGGATTGGCAAAACAGGACACTGCAGGTGGCACAATGTCTTCTTGGCCTGTCCCTGCTGGCTGTTCTCTATTTCCTTGGATGCACCTTTTGGTGTGGCACAACTCAGGTCGCCCATTGCATTGATGATATCTCTGCTTTGGGAAGGAAAGCAGCAGAAATATCCTAAAGTAGCATTTTCCTTCCCGCACCCTTTTGCCCAATCTCCATGCATTTGTAAGTGAGTTTATACCAGTCCCTCCGCTCATTGCAAGCCAAGAATAGAGGACTAACTTAGGCATTCTATAGATTTTCTTAAAGTAACCTATCTTGTGGCTTGCACACATGCTCTCTGATACAATATCTAATGACCCCCTCATGGGAAATTGATTTTCCCGTTAGATGTACAAACTTGAAACAGTCAAAATAAGGCTTGCAAATGTGGTAGCTTGAATCTTAGGGCTGGGAGGAAATCTGAAGCCACCTCATCCACTTCTGTTGATGCCAGGGACGTGCAGCTAAACTACCTAGTACCAGGATGGGGATTTTGCTGATTTTAAGGGGCATCTGAAAAAATGATTTCATGGGCTCACCTGGAAGCTTCTGCCCGTCTTTACCAACTCCTCCTGGCAGATGCCTGGCTTCCCTCCTTCAAAAATTCAGGCCAGGGCCTTCTTATCTGTCCTAAATCAAGATGATTGGGTTTCTATGTTCCATTGGAAAATTCATAAATGTTCAGATTTAGTACATCAAATCTACCAGTACATTTCTATGGTCTTCTTCATGTAGAATATGTTGAAAAAAAAAGTATAGTAATGAAAATATATCTTTGATATAAAAAAAAATTAGCTCCCATGTAAGATACACTAAGAGTTTAATGAGCAGTGTTGAAGGTAGGGAAGAAGTCTAGACATTTGGTATCCACAGCTGATCTGGGGGTCTGGGGAGGGGATCTGAAAGAGGGAGCAGTATTTTTAAAGAATATGCCTTTCATTTCTATTAGCTGGAATCTGGAGTTCCTCTTCCAAGCCCTATGGATTTAATGTATAAAATTTTGGTGAAAAATAAGAAGAAATCACACAAGTCATCAGAAGGAAGCGGCAAAAAGAAGCTCTCAGAACAAGCCTCCAACACCTACAGTGACTCCTCCAGCATGTTCGAGCCCTCATCCCCAGGAGCCGGTGAGGGGCTGGTGGGCTCTCCCCGTCATGTTTTGTGTTGGTTTAAGAATTGCTGCTCTGGGCTGTGCGTGGTGGCTCATGCCTGTAATACTACTACTTTTGGAGGCTGAGGCAGGTGGATTATGAGGTCAGGAGTTCGAGACCATCCTGGCCAACATGGTGAAACCCCGTGTCTTTGGTGGCCAACATGGTGAAATCCTGTCTCTTGCAAAAATACAAAAATTATCTGGGCATAGTGGCACGTACCTGTAGTCCCAGCTACTCGGGAGGCTGAGGCAGGAGAATCGCTTGAACCTAGGAGGCAGATGTTGCAGTAAGACAAGATCCAGCCACTGCACTCCAGCCTGGTGACAGAGTGAGACTCCGTCTCAAAAAAAAAAGAATTTGCTGCTCTGAAATTAGCTTAGAAGGACTTTGAACATTCCTATTTCTGCACAGTTTTGAACTACTGGTTTTCTCTTGCTGCTACAAACTTAGCGGCTTAAACCAGCACAAATGTATTATCCTCTAGTCCTGTAAGTCAGGAAGCCCCCTGGGTTTCACTGGGCTACACTCCAGGTGTCAGCCGGGCTGTGTTCCTTCCTGGAGGCGCTAAGGGAGAAGCTGTTTCCTTGCTTTTTCCAGCTTCTAGAGGCCACCCACATTCGTTGGCTTGGGGCTCCTTCCAGCTTCAAAGCCAGCAAGGCTGCATTTCACTAACCTTTCTCCTGTGGTCACATCTCCCTCTGACCACAGGCAGGAAATGTCCTCTGCTGGCAAGAACTCAAGTCATTACATTGGATCCATCCAGATAATCCAGGATAATTGCTCCCATGTCAAGGTCTTTAACTCCATCTCACCTGCAATGTCCCTTTTATCATGCAAGCTAACATATTCATGGAGCAGAGACATCTCTGGGAGGTCATTATTCTGGCTACCATGTAAGCCAAATAGTCTTCAGAGTGACCATATGACTTTAAGCTTCATAATGGGAAATATTAACTATAGAACTGAGCACTGGATGCATTGTCATTGATGATATGCTGAAGAGTTCTGGGCATTTCAATTTTTTCATGTTTTAAAGAACTTTTTAAAATCTGTGACATGGCAAAATTACTTAAATTATCTTTTGAAGCTCCTAGAGGATGCCTAATATCATTTCTTTTCCTTTTAAATTAAGGGTGAAATAGATTGCTGTGGTTGATGAGAAAAGAATTCAGTGGCACTCATTTCCTTGGGATTATTTGTCATTTAGTCTGATTTATCTTCCAAGTTCAGTCAGAAGCTTGGCAATCTGAAAATCGCATTATAGACATCTCCTGATTGCAGGGTGATTAAGTGGAAGAAACTTTTAAGCTTGACTGTAGGAAGTTTTTCAGTTATAAGTTAAACATAGGAACAATCAATTGGAAAACTACTTAGCAGTGTCTACAAAAGCTGAATATATGCACTCCCTGTACCTCGGGAGTTCCATTCCTAGGTATATGCTTGCTAAAGATGTGTATTTAGGTTTACCAAGAGACACGTACAAGAATTGCTTAAAGCAGAGGTATTCAGAATAGCCAAATACTGGACACCAAATACTCGTCAACAGATAAATGAATTATGGTATATTCACACAAAGAAAGAATATGCAGCCATGAGAATAATCTATAACTAAATGAAAACTATGGATGAATCACTATAAATAAACATAATATTGAGCAAAGGAAGTCAGGTACACAAAAACTACATACTGTATGATTTAACCTATATAACACACAAAAACAGGCAAAACTAATTTATGCTATTTATTAGAAGTCAGGATAATGGGTTCCCTTGGAAGAAAAGCAACCAGCAGGGAGCCCAAGAGCCTTCTAGAGATTGGTTATATTTTGTTTCTTGATCTGGATATCATTTACTCAGACACGTTTATTTGGTGAAAATTCTTTGCACTGTGGACTTACGACGTGTACTTTTCTGTACGCCTGTTATACATCAGTTATAAGATTTTAAAATAATTAAAATATAAACTCTAGGACAATCAGGGTTAAAAAAAAGTAGCCTGAGACTCTGATTTATCTTTTCTTCTATTTTTCTGTCTCAATTGCCTGTTTTTTTATTGTTTCGATTAAAATCTTTATCAACAGACGTTATATAATTCTTTGAAAGGGTTTTGTCCTGTAGCTTTTGAATGTGTACTTTCATCATTATTGTGCATGTCTTTCAACATTTTTTCAAAAATAATTTCTGTACTCAGTAAAAATGTTCTCTTTGAAGTTTGGAAGTGAGTATCATTAACAGGCCTTTCATTCACACCTATTTCCTAACACAACTCTATCCGTTGAATGATAGCAAGCAAACCTTGTCTTCCTTTGCATGTGGGTGCTTGTGTTTTTTACCATCTGCCTTTCCCACTACCAGTTCTCTGCCTCTTATTAACAGGATGCATAACACAAATGACGATTTTTACAGGCAGTGAACATTATTGCTTAATATAGAGAAAGGGCAACAATCTGTTAGTTATTCAGTAGATTTCCTAAGCTAGCCCTGTTGTCTATTATGCAATCAGTGGAAACTTTTGGACATTTTAATATGTAGGTACCTGAATAAAGAGCACCGCTAATTTACCATTTGGTTCGTAGATGTTCACAGTACTGGGAACTCAAGTAACTTGAAAAACGTGACAGGTATTGTATTTCAAAGCTAGTTTACTTATCATGGCCCCTGTTGGCCAGATGCCTCTTGCAGGATTCAGCCCTTTGCTAGTAGACTTGTCCTAAGGAACTAGGGTAACCTAAGATATTTTTTATAGTTCAACAAGATTCCCCCAACATCCCTCCAAAGATTTACAGGAGAAAAATCAGGTTTCTGCTTTTTACAGTAAAGAAAGACAAATTCTTTCTTTCCCACAGACACTAAAGAATGACCTGATTGGCTATTTGAAATGACTGCGAATTGTTGGGTCCCATGAAGTATTTTATAGAAAGCTCTGCCAAACAATTTTTTAATTATTTAATTAAAAGAATCCCCTCTCTGATTTTTTTTTTTTAAAAAAAAAAGGTAATAAGAACTTGGGACAAAAATTTCATTATAAAAATGCTTAAGTGGCAATACCCTAAAAGAATGTGTCTCTAATATTGTAGTAAGATACGTTTTCTATCCAAAATATAATCGATTCACCTTATTAACTAACACAATATCAGCATTATAAAGTGGTTGTATGTGGCTTTCCTTAATAAACAATCCAATACATAAAAACCCTTGCTGGTCCCAGAAATCTTTTTTCCCCTGGAGATTTTTAAGCAATACTTTTTTCACTACTGTCATTCAGTAATTGAACTGTGTCAGCCAAATGAAAACTTTTATAAGCTTCTCAGAGGACAGTGCAGTGGTACTGTCTCCATTTATATAAATCGAGTAGGGCAGCTAACTTTCAGAAGGCTGGCAGTGGGCAGGGGTGCAAGTTACTTCATTGTTGAACCATTATTGCCATCTATTGGGCTCATCGTGCTATTGCATTGTGTGAGCCCTGAAAGATAGTAGTTAAATCAATTTAGAACTTTCGAACCATTTAGAACAACCTCGCTGACTTTTTACTTGAAAATCTTTTTTATATAACGGATATTTCTGGGTCTGACTGAAGCCCATAGCTATGGAAGAATGTAATGCTTCATACTGATATGAATATTTAACCTAGCAGAAATGTCCATTAATTCTTCAGGGGAAAAACAATTCATTTAAATGAGTGTATATTGGCTACATATGAAGCTGAATTATTTCTGATGGAGTTAGATTTCCAATCATGCTGATATTTAAGGACTTACCCATGTTATCCTGCCCTCTTAAAAATAATATCAGCATTTTCTACGATATGCACTTCGTTGTGATGACAATACATCCATCAAATAAGCTTGCAGACAAATCATAGGATAAAGTTGGCCCTTCACGATTTTTATGTAGTGACTTTGCTGCCAAAGCCCCAGAGTTCCTGCCCCAGCTCCTAACTTCTTTGACTTCTGCAAGGTCCTCTCTGGCCTTGGGAAAAATGTCAACACAAGATCACTGAGCTATGTGCTGGCCACGCATTGCATGGAAGAGTCGCGGCTTGGGAAAGGAGGGAAAGATGAAGGAGGGATAGATAGTATATCTGTTTTCGGGGTCATAGAGACCCTGAGAGAGTGTTTGTATATCAAAATAGAATACATGTACCATAGAAAGCAAACTGTATTAAATGCCAGCAAACTGTTTTCAATGCCACGTGTTTAAAAACATATAGAGAAAAAATATTGACACGCATTTTTTAATAGAATTTTGAAATTTTAAGTGCTATTTATTAACAAATCCAGTTTAGGAAAAAATCTATATTCAAAATGTCAGTATAATTTTCTATAACGAATAAAATTTAAATCCTTGAAAAAAATAATTTTAAACAGCCCAACTTCCAAGGAAATCTGTAATTGATTTTAGGTAAAATATGTGTTACAAATGCTGTAAAGCTAAATGTTGAAATGGTGACATGATGATCTGTTATTAAAATTTGACAGGAGAAGCTGATACGGAAAGTGACGACGACGATGATGATGATGACTGTAAAAAATCTTCAATGGATGAGGTGGGTACTTAGGGCTTCTGGTCCCTAAGGCATTCCACCACCCTGTACTCTCCTGGGTCTGTCTCATGGTCACTTTCTGCCATCTAGTGGCAAAAAGTAGATTTGTGCCTTCCAATTGCCAGCTTCAATTTTTGAGGCAATTAAATGGCTTATGAAATGTTCCACAATCCGGAGAAGATATGGCGTTTAGAAAAATGATCAGAACTGTGACATTCATTGCATTGTTTTAATTTTGGAACACTAGAGCTACCTATTTATATAAACTTAGGCATCCCGAGTAACTTGATTAGCTCAAAAATATTAATTGCACAGAACCTAGAAGAGAATCAGAAGCAGATCAACTGGAATTTTAGAATTTTGTCTTACCAAAAGTTTATACTGAAACAATCTGGGCAACAGAGAGAGACCTCACGCCTTTAAAAAAACAAGTTAAAATGAAAGATAAAACACATCCAGGTGCAGTGGTGTACACCTGTAGTTCCAGCTACTAGGGAGGCTGAGGCAGGAGGATGGCTTGAGTCCAAAAATTTGAAGCTGCAGTGAGCTATGATCACACCACTGTGCTCCAGCTTAGAAAACAGAGCAAGACACTGTCTCTCTTTAAAAATACGTATTTTAAAGTTTATATTGAATCTGCTTTCAAATTTGTTAGATATGTTCTGTCTCAACGCTTGTAGCTCTACAATTTAGTAAAAATGAAACAAAAAATAAGCTGCTCTTACTTGATGTCCTTCCTCTTAGAATTATTTTTTAATGTCTAAAGTTTTGCTTAATTATGTTCCCTCACTACATTTCAATTTTTGATTTCCAGGAGGAAAACAGCTTACCATGTCTGGCAAAGTATATGTTCCTGAGAATGATTTCAATTGTGTATAATTTCTGATCAGTGATTCTAAATAATTTTTAAACTCTCTTACTAATTGGATAGTCCATTTGCAAATGAATGTTTCCCAGTTAACATTTGACCCAAATATTACTACCAGAATTTTTAAAAGAAACTCATCTCCATGCATTCTCTCTTCTAAAAATGTGAGACAATATTAGATCACTCTACAGAGGCCCATTTTGTGCCAACACTGCATTATTGGTTTTCTTTTTCATTAAAAACTCTATCAAAGTAATATGTCATAGCTAATAATAGCAAAAGCAACATGAGATTGTAGTACCACTTGCCAGGCACTGTTCTAAGCTCCTTCACATAAATTAACTTATTTTTTAATCAAAAACCCCTATATGCTGTAGGAACTGATTTTATCCTAATTTTACAAATGAGTCAAGTGAGGCACAGAGCAATTAAGTAAGTTGCCCAAGGTTGCCCGGTTTCTAACTAGTGGACTTGGGATTCGAAATCAGGCAGGCTGGCTCTAGAACGCGAGCCATTAATCCCTGCACTATGCTTTCCTGCTTGTCTAAGACACATCAGGAGCCAAGAAGGGAGGGAGGGAAGAATGTTGATGAAGGAAAGCAGTTGTTTACCCACCCCTGCCCATTTCCACAAAGCAATCTTTTTATTATTATTATCAATTTTCCCTTCATTTGGTGGTCACCTACCTAACAATTTTCTTATTGTACAGTGAATTCTTAATTTACGAATCCGATGAGAACACATGGACACATAAAGGGACATGGGGCCTACCTGCGGGTGGAGGTGGGAGGAGGGAGAGGATCAGGAAAAATAACTAATGGATGCCAGGCTTAATACCCGGGTGACAAAATAATCTGCACAACAAACCCCAGTGACATAAGTTTATTTATATAAAAAAAAAAACCTGCACGTGTAGCCCTGAATTTAAAATAAATGTTAAAAAAAATTACTAACCTTAGACAACACCTATGGACACCCTGCAATGGAAGATGAGCTATAGCTCAGTGCTTCTCAAACTTTGATGGGCATTCCAATGACCTTAGTAAAATGCAGGATCTGAGTCTGAGGCCTGCAGAGGGGCTAAGATCAGGCATTTCTAAATGGAAAGGAGGGGGCAGGGGATAGGGAGTGATTATGTTGGGGCCATGCTGCCAGCCACCATTCAACCTCCCACCTCCCTTCCTCCCTCCCTTTTATAAAATGAGGTGTTGCTGTTGCCTTTCTCCTGTAATGAATTTTCATTTTGTAATTTTCAGAAAGGGAGGGATGATTTTCTGCATGCTTGAATCATGTTGTCATTTTCCTGGGAAAATAACTGATAATATAATGCTGACTCTGGAAATGTTTTCTTTTTTATTCCTACTTCCAGGGGACTGCTGGAAGTGAGGCTATGGCCACAGAAGAAATGTCTAATCTGGTGAACTATATTCAGCCAGTCAAGTTTGAGTCATTTGAAATTTCAAAAAGTAAGTTTTCCCTGGAGAAAAACCCCTCTTGCAGCATATAATGATTATATTTTAAATACGGAGTAATGGGACCAAAGAATGTTACCCTTAATAGAGAGATTTATGCTTTTGAAGTCTTAAATATATGTACATTTTGACTGCCTTGTTACTTTACACATATAATAAATATGCATGTATTGTAATATATAAAAATAACCATATGAGAAAGTATTCTATGGTGTTCTCCAAAAATATTTAATAGGGCTACAGGCCATACATGGCTATCGGAAAGACACATGACCAGAGTACAACTAATTGGGAATTGTACTTTGCTTTTTGTTCGCAACACACAGTGAGATCCATCTGTTACATAAGTGATAATGTTGAAATAAACTATCTACCTGTTTCCCAGAAGGGAAGCAGGCAGAGACTTGATGAACCCTGATAATTAGAAATAGAACCAATTTATCTATATTCCATTTGTCCATCACATGTATATATTTAGAAGAAAATGCATTAACTTCACATCACTTTGTGTTTTCCCTTTATTCAACTATACATCCATACTTGTGCAAAGAAAAATATCATCTTTACCCAGACAAAAGGGTTCTTTTATGAAAATGCCCCTTGTATTTGCATGAAGCGTAAGATGCTATCAGATTAAGGGAATCCTTGAAACTTACTAGCCACTTATAAGGGTGTACCCTTAAAAACAGAAATTTGCCTAAATGTACTAGCTTCTAATCAAGGATGGCTTTGCAGCTATATCAAAATCCAAGCCTCTACCAAACACGCTTGTTTATATTTGTATAATCTTACAAAAAGTCTTCACTTAGTGGTATATGCAACCTAGATCTCTACAACAAAGAATTCAACTTCCAAGAGTTTATATATAATGATTTCTCAACATTGAATTCGATGTCCTAATTTCTGATGTTTCTTACAAGTTGTTTTCTTTGAAACATCCTAGCGTAGTTATTTTTATATCACTGTAATTTCATTGGCTGCAATGAGTTTCTCTAACTCATTAGTTAAAAGTTCCAAGACAAGTAGCCAAGTGTGAGAAAGAGCCAATATATTTAGATTCTTCAGAACCTGGAAACAACAGCACCAGCTAGACTCACAAACAAGCACTTTTCTCCTTGTGTTTAATATCATTTTATAACCTTGAAAAAAGAATATTCAACATATTTTACCAAGTACCTATTAATGTTGACTGAATTTTAATTAATAGTTATGCTTAATTTAATAAGTCATATAAAGGTAGATTTATGATGGACCAAAATAAGAGAAGCCAAGGTTTGCCTTAGAGTGGATTGGAGAAGGTGAGAAGATGGATGACGAAGCCTGGAAATCATTAAGAAGAACGAGGTTTTAATTTCGAAAGAGAGGTCAAAGAGGGAAAATATCTCAAAGATAACTCAGTTTAAAAAAATTCAGAGCTATATAACCACCCTGTGCTATACTTATCTAAAATACTGCTCATAATTGTTGGTTTTTAGTGGGGATGAGGGTAGAGAAAGTGATTCTCGGTCTTTCTAAACTAAGATAACTTTGTTTTCTTTCTCTCACTCTAATTGGAGGCTTGAATTTCACTTTCAAAATGTTTCTCTTGTGTTTAGCACATCCTCCTCTCTGGCCTCTATTTTATTTTATACTTTATTAGTCCATTCTCGTGCTGCTATGAAGAAATATCCGAGACTGGGTAATTTGTAAAGAAAAGAGGTTTAGTTGACTCACAGTTCTGCATGGCTGGGGAGACCTCAGGAAACAACAATCATGAGGCGGAAGGCACCTCTTCACAGGGCAGCAGGAGAGAGAATGAGTACAGGCAAGGGAAATGCCAGATGCTTATAAAACCATCAGCTCTCATGAGACTAATGCATTATCATGAGAACAACACAGGGGAACCACGCCCATAATTCAATTACCCCCACTTGGTAACCCCCCCTTGACACTGTGGGTATTACAATTCAAGGAGATTTTGTGTGGGGACACACCCAAGCCATATCATGTATCTAATATGAAAATGAAGCCATGAGACTGGAAAATTTCCAAGGACCTTTCTGTTTTGAAAGACCATAATTCTGTCATATTAGTTATTTGAACCAAAAAAGTATATACAAACTGATAAGGTGGCAATGTGGGTATGAAAGAGATAGTCAGCACCTAGCACAAACATTCCCATGGTCTCTTTTGTTAAACCCCATATTGGCCCTAAGAAAAAAATCTGGGTGAATTTAGAACAAAAGATTCCCACGGGGTCCCTGCTCTTTTGACAAATTTTTTTATTGCCACACTATACTCATCTAGAATTCATTCATGTCCCTAAATTACAAAAGCATAAGTAGCTCTGACCCAAGTAGCAAACGTTAGAAAAGACAACTAACAAGACTCAACTTTTGTTACAGGTAAATAGTGCACTAGAAAAAAAAATTAAATATTGAAATTACATTGAGGATTATTTGCCCTCAACTTCACTGAATATTTACCCATTTCTTTTATAATGTTATAATTTATAACAATGAATTGTATTTCTCACCTTCCCCTTTTTTGTTTTGTTGTTGCTTAACTCAGAAAGAAATAAAAGTTTTGAAATGTCTTCCTTCGTGGAAACCAAAGGACTTGAACAACTCACCAAGTCTCCAGTGGAATTTGTAGAGTATCCTTGATTTGACGAATGACTGCAGAATGAACACAGCTGAAGTCTTGTGCTATTTGTTCATTTGGTTTTTTAATAAGGAGAAAGATGCATAAAATGGCTTAAGTATATAGCCTGGGGCGGATAAATAGTTTCAGGTATCATATACAATGCTGGGCGGGGTAGTCTGGCCTATAGAACAAAAAACTGGTCTTGGAATAAAGGAAGCGTAGATTTCAAGGTTGCCTTCACACCACCAAGCTCTGTGTCTTTAGGCAATTTGCTTAATCCTGACTTTCCTTGTCTATAAAGCAGAAATAATTATACTAGCTTTATGGTTTGCTCTTTGGATTAGGTACAACATATGTAACATGAGTGTGCATACTTTACACATATATAAGATATATGTAAAGAAATATATACCTGACTTGGCATCTCACATACTTATATGTACTATATGTCCAAATAGTAGGGATGATGATGATGACATTGTAAATATAAATATACATTACTAAGACTGGATTTATTGATATTACTGACAACAAAAATTTTTGCTACTATCCATGAACTAAAATAAAGTGAAACAGGCTATTAAATTTCTTTCATAAAATTAACAGTAAATATCACAAAGTGCTCAATTTCATGTAATAAGTCCCAGAATAAAGTTAACCTTTAAAATTCATCAGTGGAAGAAGAAACAAATGTTGACTCCATAAATAAAGTCCTGCTAGAAAATTATCATCGTTAGTATTCCTTATTGACTGTGTGATAGATCTTGTCTTATCTCATTTAATCCTCACAATAGTCCTATGACATAGAAATTGTTAAATCTATTTTATAGATGAGGAGACTGAGTCACAGAAAGACAAAATAATTTGTCCAAGGTTATTCAGCTAGCAAGTTTGAGAGTTGAGGTTCAATTTCATTTTGCCTAGCTCAGAACCCTAACCAACCTTCACCTAACTTGGTGATAGGAACTAGTCAGTCATGTTTTAAAGACATAGCATGGTCCAACAACTACAAGATTCTTAGGATAGAAAACTGATAATGATAGGAACCAAAATATTAAGCAAGATCAGAAACTTCCATGGTACATTGACCTTGCTATCAATTATAAAGAGTACCACAGTCTTGGCAAATAGCATTCCCAGAGAAAATTAATAAAAATTAGCAGACAGCATTTCAAAAATAGCTATACAGTGCATATTATCTACTTCTGCCAAACACAATATCATTCTTTCAAATGATTTAACACATTCCAGCCTCCTTGTGTGTCCTTAGTCATTAAGTCTGTCCTTAATACTCTCCACAAAATCACATTGACTTTGGCTCAGCCACTTTTTGCTACCCCATTGACTTTTACCCACGGGGCTCTGCAAAGGTGATGCTATGCCTATGTGATAAGAGCATACTTATTCTGTTTGTTTAGAAAGCTTTTTGCATATTTGATATTACTGACAACAAAAATTTTTGCTATTATGCATGAAGTGAAATAAAATGAAACAGCCTATTTAATTTCTTTCATAAAATTAACACTAAATATCCCAAAGTAGCCCAACGAGATCATCAATATTTACTTCATTTTCCAAATGGAGAAAGATGGAAGGTAGCTTCTTAGTTACTATTATTGACTAAATATTTTTATAATTGTATTCACTACTTAACATGATGGTCCAGATATAACAAAATGCAGCTTAGCAGGATATATCCAAAAGGAACACGTGTGGATTCATCCAACTATATGCCTCAGCTCTTCTGGAATGCAGGTTGTCAGATGGTGGCACTTAATTTCCAGACAATGGGTAAGTACATGCTTGTTCCCATTCTGCTATGAACTCACATTGCCAAGTGTCCAAAAACCATTCTTACATAATTGGGGGAGAGAAAATTGCCAGACTTCACTGAAAAAATAAATAAAAGCAAATTTCAATGAAGGGAATATCAATGCATAAAAAAAGTGAATTTTGAAAATCGAGACATGTTCTTCAATTATTCTGTAAATGGATCTTTATTTCTACAGGCTTTGCATTATTTTTCAAACAAAAATTTTTATGCTTTTTAAGATAATACATATTTATTTTGAAAATAATGGAAAATTCAGTAAGTATTTTAAAAACAAACTGCCAGGAATGCTACCAACTCAGAGATTCCACAGTGTTGACTTTTAGCTTTGTAATCTATGTCTTTTTTGTCTACATATAAATGCTTTTTTTATGTAACTACTCATTTAAAATAAATACATATATATTCATATATACATATATAAACACACACTCACCTAAGTGCCATAGAGAGACATGAATTTCAATAGCTGCATACTAAGCATATTTCACAATTCGCTAAAAACTTATTTCTATTCCCTAAATTTCTTTTGGAAAATATTTTAAAAACAGAATTACTAACGTTAAAAGATGTGAACAGTTTAAGTACCTTTATGAATATTGCCAAATTGTCTGTAAAAAATGTTGTGCTACATTACTCCGCTGTCAGCAATGTTTAATATGACGTGGCCTCTCATTTGCGATCTTGGTTAAGTATTATCGTTAAATAATAATAATAATTAAACCAGACAAAAATGTGTTATTTCACTGTTATTTTAAATTCATTTCTTGAATCATTATTAAGGTTGAACTTTTTAAAATATGTTTCTTGGTTTTTGTATTTCTGCTTTTATGAATTACATATTCAGGACTATCGTCAATTTTCTTGTTGATTTATAACAGCACTTTTTATTTAAAGGGTATATTGTCTTTTGTGAAACAGAGACAATTCAGTGGATCAGGTCAGGCTGATTAATGTTTAATTAAAAGTTCTTGGTTTACTTGTATGATTACAGCCTCCTCACCCCAGGATGAAAGCCTTGTGCTCCCATTTTTCTCATGGTTTCTTTTTTATTTAACCTTTTCAACCATCAAAATTTAATTTTGGTCCATAGTCTCAGTGAGATCAATCCTTTTTTTTCATCCTAAACAATCATCCCACTGAACTGGAATTACACGTTAATAGATACAGCCTTTTTCATTGTTGTTGTTAATTCAGACCCATTTTTTCACTTTGTATCTTTTCCATTAATAAATTTGTCTGCCTTCCTGGATGCAATAACTCACTGTTTTTACTGTATTTTATAATATGGATTAATACCTGGAAGTGGTGATTCTCCTTTACTACTATTAATTTTCAATTCCTTTTTTGCCATTGCCAGTGGAATTCTTATTTCAAATAAACTTAATTTAACTGTATTATGTTTTCCTTGACTACTAAAAAAAAACTATTTTTAAAATCATATTAACTTTATAAATTTATCTGACAAAAACTGACACCTTTTTAATTTTTAGTTTTTCTGTCACAGGAAAAATGCTTTTCTCTTTACTTTAAAATTTTTTGTATTAAGTCCTCAGCAAAATCACTTGTCTTCATTAGAGGTCTAGTTTTCTTAGACTGAATCTTTCTTTTTATTTATATTATATTTTTAACAGATTGTTTCTGGATATTTATATTTGTATATTTGTTTATTTTATAAATGATTGTATTTTACAAATGATCATCTTTCTAAACTCTTATAATAGCCTATTTTTTGCAGTACATTCCGTTGGAATTTTTAGACACACAAAGACAGTAATTTAATCATATCTCATTTCTCCACCTGCCTTATTTATTGCTTTGGCCTTACCGTTCTCAGGTATTAAATGAGGGTTCCGAGTGGGCATCTTTCTTTTTTATTCAGTAGGAAGTTCAACATTATGCCTTTTATTAAGTATCTATCAAGCTCTAAGCCACGATTAAGAGTAATTTGCTAGATATTTATGGCTTTTTAAAATCAATTAATTTATTTTTATTGATACATAATAGCTGTACAAACGTTTGCAGTACGTATGATAATTTAATACATTTATATAATCAAATCAGAGTAATTGGGATATCCATCACCTGAAATATTTATCTTTACATTAGAAACAATCGAATTGCTGTCTTCTAGCTATTTTTAAATGTACAAACTATTAATGTTAACTATAGTCACCTCCTTGTCTATCAAACACCAGGTCTTAACGTCTTCTATCTAAGTGAAGAGTGGGCATCTTTCTCTTCATCCTGATCCTAATATAAGTTTCACTGTTGTGATATCATCAAGTCAGATATTGGCTGTGACTTTGAGTCAGATATTCTTTAACATACTAAAGGACACGGGTCCTATTTGACTAATGTTTTAGAAGTTGGTATTGAATGTTATTAAATGTCTCTTGGACATCCATTGGGATGATCATATGTTCATTTTTCAGACATAAATGTGATAAGTTATCTTAATAGATCTCATTTCCTAATATATAATTATCCTTTTGTTCCCAAAATAGGCTCTACTTATTTGTTGTGTATTATTTTTAGAACATATGACTTGCTAATGTAATTTTTAGGCTTTTGAAGCTAATTTTTTCAAGTGTCATAAATTCATTATTGTTTTGAAATTTTGTCCAATTTTGACATCATAGTTATGTTTATAAAATAATAGTTTAATAAGAGAAAATTTCACTGATTTTTTTCTGCTCTAAAAATGATTTGTTAAATGAAACTTTAGAATAATTCTGCCATCACCTCTTTATTATGCACATAGAGATGAGTCATGACACAGATAATCTGGAACTGTTGACAACTTCCCAGATTCTTTACAACTTTAATATGTATTCTTTCACTCTATCAGTTGCAATATGTGTGAACGTTCATCTGATGCACTGAGTCTGAGGAAAATTTTGACCAGTAACCTTTGTCCACTGGAAAAGAGTCTATGTAGAATTAGATGTTAATTGTAAGTAATCACAGAAGTGCAAATTATAAAAAAGAAATTTTTTGTACAAATTAAAAAGCAGGAAAAGGAATAATAGAATCCTCTTTTAATGAGGCATGGAGAAGTCCATTCTCAAAAACATGGCTTAGTAGTATAAGCTGGTTTAAGCTTTCTGAAGGGCATTTTAGCAAGGCATCAAAGAAAAATTTTCCAATGAGGACATCATTTGTCCCAGGAATTCCTCTCATAAGAAAATCACTGATCATGGCTTCAAAGATTTCACCACAATGATGTTTATCAAAACATTATAAGGGTGAAAAATTAGAAAAAACATAAATGTGCCCAAAAGGGGAATGGTTAAATACATTATATTCTAATATATTGTATTAGATATTATATTCTAATATATTGTATTAGATATTATATTCTAATATATTGTATTAGATAGTGTATCATATTAGAAATTAGATATTAGAATTAGAAATTAGAAATTAGATATTAGATATTGTATCATAATATTCTAATATATGCTTTATATATTAGAATGATATATTTAATATATCATTCTAATATATCTAATATATATTAGAATGATATATTTAATACATTAGATATTAGATATATTAGAATAATATAAATAATATATCTAATATATGTTAGATATTAGATATTTTGTATATACTATATTTATATATAATTATATATTATATATTAGATATATTATATTATATTAATATTTAACATATATTATACAAATATATTATTCTAATATATTTAATCAAAGGAATTTGAGACAGCTGTTATAATTAAGGCAGATACATATTAAATGAAATCAATATACTGTATGTCAACAATATATTTGAAGTGGAAAAGCAGACTGCACACCCACCAGTTGGCAGTGATTATTTCTGGACTTGGGGATTAGAGGTAATTTTTTTCTTATCTGTGTTTCCTGCATTTCTACAATGACTCTCTTCCAAGGGAATACAGTCACAAAAGTGGACTGGGATCAACTTTACTTTACAATCTTACTTTCTTACCCCAAGTATAGATAAACTCACAATAAGGCTTGTGTTTTTGATACTCAGACCTGGCTATGCAAATAAATATGGGGATGTATGAATACAACGGGAAGAGTGGCTACAGATTGAAGCCAGAGTTCATGAGGAGGCCTGACAAGCATTTTGATCCATTTACTGAAGGCATCGTAGATGGGATAGTGGCAAACACTTTGTCTGTTAAGGTAGGTATACCCCATCACAAAATTGTTCCTAACAATAGTGTTGAATTTATCTACATTGCATAAAGAAGTGGCTTAGTCATTAAAAATTTAGTAACTAGGAAAGATTCTACTTTCTTCCTACATTTTTTTTCTCTAAAGATCAAATACACATTAAAAGTTTTCGTAAGGGGTCCGTGTGTTCTCATTGTTCAATTCCCATCTATGAATGCACACGGGAAGGGGAACATCACACTCTGGGGACTGTTGTGGGGTGGGGGGAGCGGGGAGGGATAGCATTAGGAGATACACCTAATGCTAAATGACGAGTTAATGGGTGCAGCACACCAGCATGGCACATGTATACATATGTAACTAACCTGCACATTGTGCGCATGTACCCTAAAACTTAAAGTATAATAATAATAATAATAATAATAATAATAATAATAATAATAAAAGTTTTGGTAGGGTCGGGCGCAGTGACTCACGCCTGTAATCCCAGCACTTTGGGAGGCCGAGGCAGGTGGATCACGAGGTCAGGAGATCGAGACCATCCTGGCTAACACGGTGAAACCCCGTCTCTACTAAAAAATACAAAAAAAAACAATTAGCCGGGCGTGGTGGCGGGCGCCTGTAGTGCCAGCTACTCAAGAGGCTGAGACAGGAGAATGGCGTGAACCTGGGAGGTGGAGCTTGCAGAGAGCCCAGATCGCGCCACTGCACTCCAGCCTGGGCGACAGAGCGAGAGAGCGAGACTCTGTCTCAAAAAAAAAAAAAAAAAAAAAAAAAGTTTTCATAGGCCACATGAATAAGATAAAGCGACTGAACTTTATTCTTAATGATAAAAATCTGACTCTAAATCAATAAAATGAGTTGGAGAGACTCATCATAAGCAAACCTCTTTTTTGGTGTAACTAACCTACTATGAAATTTACATGATAATTAGTGGCCCATATTGGAGAGATTTTCCGGTCTTTTTTTCCCCGTTTGGTTCTTAGAAAATTAGAGACAGAACATTCCCTCAATAAATTATCAAATGTTAAACAAAAGCTTTCAAATTACTTTAAATGGTTTTTGAAAATCTTCCAGAGTATTCAGAGATTTTAAAACACATATTAATGATCATTAAATAAAAGAGTTGCTTTATTAAATATATATGTATATATACATGTATGTCATAAATATATAAAAATCATAGATATATACACATACATATGTATATCTGACCCTAAACAATTCTAAATTTTTTTAGTCTTTGAAATTGATTTTATATCAGATATAATTTTTTAGCTACCAGAAAATATTTTTAATACTATGAAAGGAAAATCAATTTTTTAGAATACATTTTACATGGATTCTTCATCGTTAAAGCTTTTCAAAAATATTGTCTGTTTTCTGTTTAACTGAATAACTATAGAACTAAGAAATTTTTTTACTGGACATAAATGTAATTTTTTGATTAACCTTAAACAAAGGCATTTGAAAAACTATGTAAAAAGCTTTCTATAACAGCTTCACTAATTTCTTTCTACCCTAAGCAGTTGAGCACATTTTTACCTTAAAACTTTCGTCACTTTATATCAAGGGTTTAAAGAATAAAATTTCAGTGAAGTGTCTCATAATTATATCTTTTGAAATTACTTCAAGCCACATGTATAAAGAGTTCAAGTTGGCAGAATTAGAGTTTATTTTAGGAAAGTATTTTCAGAAAAGGCTGTTTAATTCCTGTCAGGTGTGATAAAGATAAACTCATAAGCTCCATGTACTGATAGAATGCTACTTTTAGAATCCTTGTCAATTGTTGTTATAGTTCGGTTGAATTAATAATATTTTTGCTTTGCTTGCAGATTCGTCTTGTTTTGAATGTATTTGTTTGCTTATTTCTTTTTTTGTCTTGAAAATCCTACTGTGACAGTAAGCAATTATAAAACAATGACACAGAGGCAGGAAAGTACATTGAGTTGTGAAGGGGAAATAGTTGATCCCCAGACAAGTGTAACCTGCTGCTCCTGTCCAGAATGGAGACGCTGCTCCAGAGCTGTCAGTCTCCCCTGAATGGACAGTTCTCACTGCAGTAGAGTCCTACCTTTGACATTATAGCTAGAGCCAAGATACAGATCATAACTTTCCAATTATGCCTTTGTTTTCATCTTCTGGCATAGATTTTATAATGCCAGAATGGACTTGTGAGCTCACATGATGTTCTACCGTCCTATGTTACTGACGAGAGCATTGTGGTTTTGGTGTCATGAATTTAGTTTAGGACTCTGCTTTGGTCAAACATCTTAAACATACAACATCTTCTGTGCATCTGAATTCCAAGTAGGACTTGCATAACTTAGAAGTTTCAAACATGTTTTGAAATGCTTGCTTATTTCATAGACATAGTTCTCACATAGAACCTCAAGTTAAACAAAGAGATTGTTGCTAGCAGGTCCCATGCACTCAAGCCAAATAGAACATACAGGGGAAATGAGTTGTCCCAGGGCAAATTCAGAGAGCCTTCCTGATGACTTTCTCTCTGAATTACTCAGAATTTCTGACAACATCAGCATATAGCTGACTTTGACTTTACTCAGCCTTTGATAGCTATTCTCATGCCACCATTTTGTCTGATTTCTGGCCCAGCCATAATTCTGTCCCCTTTCACAATCTTGAGCTCAGATTGTGAGCCCAGCCATAATGCTGTCCCCTTTTCACAATCTGGAGCTCAGAAAGTTCTTGACCAGCAGGCAATTTTCTTGTAACCACATAACCCAGATTCACCAGGTTTGCTCTGTCAGCACTTGCTTCCTGCTTTCCCCTTCCTGGTATACAGCAGAAGCACATCTTGTTTGCCTCCGCTAACCTTTATGACAGCTGGTGGATAGTTCAGATTTTGAAAATTTGCATAGAAACAGAGGCAGACATGGAAGACATTTATAAATACGTAATATTAAAAATCTCTTTTAAGTCTATAATATCCATTAGTTCTGTAGCTAGACAAAGATGGTGACACCTTGTGAGATTAGGGGTAATGATAAACTTATCTTGATGGTTTAAAGTGAATACTTGTTCATTTATTCCTCCTACAATACTGTGTCTTATTAATTGACTACTTCTAACCTCACCATTTTCAATATCCTTCTACCAACCTGTGTTTGTCCATTTTCACACTGCTATAAAGAACTACCTGAAACTGAGCAATTTATAAAGAAAAGAGGTTTAATTGACTCACAGTTCTGCATGGCTGAGGAGGCCTCATGAAACTTACAATTATGGTGGAAAGTGAAGGGGAAGCAAAGCACACCTCACATGAAGGGAGAAGAGAGAGAGTGAGGGGGGAACTGCCACACACTTATTAAACCATCAGATCTTGTGAGAACTCACTATCATGAGAACAGCATGAGAGAAACCACTCCCATAATCCAATCACCCTCCCCAAATATGTGAGGATTACAATTCAACATGAGATTTGGGTGAGGACATAGAACCAAACCATATCATAACCCATTAAGTGAAAGGGAAATCATATTTCTACTCTTGCTTCTATTCCATTTTGCTTATAATTCAACATTTGCTGAAGAGCATTTGTGGCTCTTTAAAGTATTCTCTTATGTCTTTGTTATTTGCATATCAAAATTCCTTATGGATTGATTGATTTATTGATTTTCTAGATTATTTCAGGTCAGTTTCTTTCTGATAAGAAAGTTGGGACTTACGTGGAAGTAGATATGTTTGGTTTGCCTGTGGATACAAGGAGGAAGGCATTTAAGACCAAAACATCCCAAGGAAATGCTGTGAATCCTGTCTGGGAAGAAGAACCTATTGTGTTCAAAAAGGTTGGTCACATGTTCTTGATATGAGTTATAACTGCATTTTTCAGGTGTTTTACACTGAGAAAATAATGAAATGGTGAATTATTTGTTATTTAATTTGAAAATTTACACACTTATAAAGCAATTACCTTTTGAAAGCCATTCTGAAAACCCTTCAAGAATTCTGTTAATCACTGGTTTGGATTTTCAGAATTGTATTGTAAATCAATTCATTCTAGTATGCCTCAAATGGACGGCCATAAAAACATATACATTTAACTCATATCATCTGATAGTACAAATGATAAATGATACATTTTAATTATAACTCAAAGAAGTAGAGTGGAAGTAGGGAATAATATAGTGGCTGAGATAAAGAAAATTCATATTTCCTTTAAAAGGAATATTATTTAAATTCCCCAAAATCTCTAGCCTCTGAGAGCTGGTCATTCAATCTTGTCTGGGTTCTATCTAATAAAGTTGAAACCTTTCACACTCAACTGGGCCCTTCTCTTTCTTCACCAAAAAGCAAATCTTCACACATGCTTATCATGTAAAGGAAGAAAGTAGGTTCAGTGGGAAGTAGACTTTTTAGCCTACTCTTTGCTTTTTTCTGGCCAAAATATCTACAAATCCAGTCTTCTGCAAAGAGAATAGCTATGCGGAAACTCTCTGTGCTCTGGGATTTTTCCATATGTTAACTGAGTTTAATAATAATGCTTACTATACTGTTTACTTCTTACAGTTATTATGAATATTCCATAAGTAAATACATTGACCACACTTAAGAAATATCTAGCACAATGAAAATATTCAATAAATGTGAGTTTGCTGTTTTTGTAAACAATACATTTTTAAAGAGATAGTCGACTTCATGTTCTTGACATAAGATATAACTGCATATTTTAGATGTTTCACACTGAGGAAAGAAATGAGTAGTTGCTCTTTGCTTACTGTGGGAATTTACAAATTTATAAAGCAATTGTATTTTGAAAGCTGTCCTGAAAGTTATTCTTGTTTTTCAGTGGTGGTTGTTTTCACTTTTTTTGCTTTCACTTTGAAGATGCAAAAGTCATTTGCTTTGAAAACATAAACGACTTCCACAATGGTTGAACTAGTTTACAGTCCCACCAACAGTGTAAAAGTGTTCCTATTTCTCCACATCCTCTCCAGCACCTGTTGTTTCCTGACTTTTTAATGATTGCCATTCTAACTGGTGTGAGATGGTATCTCATTGTGGTTTTGATTTGCATTTCTCTGATGGCCAGTGATGGTGAGCATTTTTTCTTAGTGGGTGCAGCGTACCAGCATGGCACATGTATGCATATGTAACTAACCTGCACATTGTGCACATGTACCCAAAAACTTAAAAGTATAATAATAATAATAAAAATTAAAACACAAATTAAAAAAAAAGAAAACATAAATGAAATATTCACATGGTGATAAAACCACTAAACTCTTTTTGTTGAAAGATAGAACTTTTGTCATTTCCACATTGAGAATGTTCATGTAAAAATAAAACAGCCTATTTTTTTAACAAATGCCTCATTAAGGCAAGGTGATAAAACATAGATGAAGCCCTATCTCTGGCAACCCATGTCTTCTCCTCTGAAAATGAAATTTATAGGGCAACATCTCAACTTTTTGTCTAAAGTAGCTAAGTAGAAACTTCTAGTTGGATCTGAAAAGCTGGTCCTGGCCAGGCGCAGTGGCTCATGCCTCTAATCCGAGCACTTTGGGAGGCCAAGGTGGTGGATCACCTGAGGTCGGGAGTTCGAGACCAGCCTGACCAATATGGTGAAATGCTGTCTCTACTAAAAAAGTACAAAAATTAGTCAGGTGTGGGGGCATGCACCTGTAGTCCCAGCTACTTGGAAGGCTGAGACAGGAGAATGGCTTGAACCCAGAGGCGGAGGTTGCAGTGAGCCAAGATCACGCCACTGCACTTCAGCCTGGGTGACACAGCAAGACTCTATCTCAAAAAAAGAAAGAGAAAAGAAAAGCTAGTCCTGATTGAATAATACCTTTCTAATTATTTCTTGGAATTGTTCATTCTTATAACCAGGTGTGTCCTTAATGTCCTTTGTAGGTGGTTCTTCCTACTCTGGCCTGTTTGAGAATAGCAGTTTATGAAGAAGGAGGTAAATTCATTGGCCACCGTATCTTGCCAGTGCAAGCCATTCGGCCAGGTATGGGTAGTGTGCTGAGAAACCTTTTATCAAAGTTGCAAAGAAAATCATTACTGCTTAAAATATTACTAGAAAATGACTTAAGAAACTATTTTCTGCTTTGTAATTTTGTTATGTAACAAGGGCGATGAGATTTAGTTACATGTTTTTGTGACATGTTGTAGTATTAATGTTAGTCAACTCTTTCAACAATAATTATGTGTAACAAACAATCTGAAAACTTATATGCAAATATTTATCTTCGTGCTCATAGGTCTGTGGGTTGGCCGGGTTTGGCTAATCTAGCCTGGGCTCCGCAGCATAGCTGTGCTTCAGGTTCTGGGTTGGGTCTATGTCTGTCCCACATGCGCTCACTCTGGGGTCCAGGCTGAAGTGGCAGTTGCTTCTACAATATGGACTTCTCTTGGCAGAACACTGGAATGTCTAACTCTGCATGTGCATTTTAAGCCTCTACCTACACCAAATTACTAATATACTGTTGACTAAAGCAGAGCTTAAGCACAAGTCAAGAAATCACGTCAAGGCTGGGCATGGTGGCTCACGCCTATAATCTCAGCACTTTGGGAGGCTGAGGCAGGAGGATCTCTTGAGGCCAGAAGTTTGAAACCAGCCTGAGCAACAGAATGAGACCCTGTCTCTACAAAAAATAATAATAACAATTTTTTAAAAAAAGAAGTCATGTCAAGTATAATTCTGTTATGGGGGCAAGTTTGGATCAATAATTCAGTCTATGACATGTGATTTGGAATTATCTTTTGTGGGAAAAATCATACGGTTGGAAAGGAAAAAATCACATTGAATGTTTTCTTGTCTGATGAGAAAAATAATGCCTTATCATTCATAAATGTTATTAAAATGAAAAAAGTGATTTGTTTTTCATCTAAAGTAACCTGAAATACATGCTTTCATCACATAGATGCGCATAATTATAACTAACATTGGAAAGGAAATATGTGCTACACAGCATTATTCTCACCTTCCAGGCTATCACTATATCTGTCTAAGGAATGAAAGGAACCAGCCTCTGACGCTGCCTGCTGTCTTTGTCTACATAGAAGTGAAAGACTATGTGCCAGACACATATGCAGGTAAACAACTTAACTCAAATACCACTTTACTCAAAGGGGTATTTCTGTCTGAGTCACCATATATTTTTGGGTTAGTGAAAGGAAAACTGAACCAAACAAAGCAGGAGATTCTGGCTTCAGAATCACCCCTACTTTCGTATGTATGTTTAGAGGTAAATTGCTTGAGCCATTGTGAATACATTTTAATTTAACGTATTTTAATTAAAATCACAACACCTCAGTTTTTTGAATATTTATTCCCTTTTAGTCTTATTCTCATGGGCCCAGCACTTACCAACTCATGTTATCCATTACAACAAATGTCTAGGTCTGTACACTGAATTTGTCTTCCACCAATTTTAGAATGCTGATTCTTTTCATGGGTGACATCCTAAATTTAAGGAATTAACCAAGAATCATAAGTGTAAATGCTTATAGTGCCAAGTAGCTTGGGTGTAAGACACTGGGGAGTAGTGGAGACCATGGTAAGCTTGGGGCTGTCCATCCAAAGCTGGCAGCCATAACTCATTCCAGCTAGGCACTGCCCTTCAAATAACTATATTGGCAAATCATTGGGTTATCCCAACAGTCCGGAAAGCAGGCTTTTTATGTAAAATGTCTCCATTTATGAAACGTCATTTGGGCCAAATAGGACAATTGGGTGGGCCATTGCCGGAATGGATGGGACCTTCAAAAAGAAACTAAGGAATCAAGAATATTCAGGGATCCTGAGTTGAAGCCTGTCCAGTTTGACTCTCAGAACTAAACTCTTAATTTCTCTCTTCCTGAAGTTTCAACAGAGTCCTAACCCTTGTCCATGTTCAAAGTGTTGGATAGAGGAGTAGATAGTTATATGGGTAGACAGAAGAATGGAAGATGGATAATGACTGGGTGGATGGATGGATGGATGGATGGGTGGGTAGATGGGTGATGAATGAATGCATGGACTGATGGTCAGATAGATGAGTAAGTAGATGAATGATGGATAATCAATACTTCCAGGACCTTTGATCTAAAATATCTCTTCCCTATTTAGATGTCATCGAAGCTTTATCAAACCCAATCCGATATGTGAACCTGATGGAACAGAGAGCTAAGCAATTGGCTGCTTTGACACTGGAAGATGAAGAAGAAGTAAAGAAAGAGGTGAGAGGGTGTTTTAATTTTACATATAGCATTAAGCATGATCACCACACCTACTTGTTGGCTTTGCCTAAGTAATATCACATACCTTGGGAGAAGGAATAGCACATTGGAACAACACTTTCATGCAGTTTAGCATCATGTCACAGAACATCTAGATGATTGACTTAAATTTTTCACATTTCATTTTCTTTTGGCATTCTGTGGATACCACGAGCATCTTATCTTGTGATAAAATTAAACTGCACACATCTTGCTATTTCAGATGAAACTTTCTACATGATTCCATGCTAATTAAAGGTGATGAACGCATTTAAAAAGGAAGATAATCATCAAATCATTTAGGGTTTCCCTTTATCTTTAATGTAGCATGCAGGATTTTCAAAGTGCTTTTCTGATTTTTATAGTACATAAAATATTTAACACAATACCTGGAAAATAGTATGAGTCATAAAGAGTCTACTGTTATTATTAGATGGTATATTTATGTATTATAATGTGTGTCCTGCAAATAATTGATATATTATTCCAAATTAGATGTCACAATGCAAAGCATAATTAAGGAAGGGTCTAAAAATAGTAGAAATGAAGTTTAAATTTATAAAGCTTCTATGTAGACTGGCAGTCTTTTTGCTTTTAAAAAAAGTGAATTATAACTTGATTATTAAGGGTGACACTAATATTAAAAATAGTGATAAAAATTTGCTATTTTCATATTTTATTCAGAGGAAAAACTCGAGAAAAAAGATAGAAAATGGAGAACTGTCAGTATTGGGGGAAAAAACCTTGAAAATTGTTTTAATAAGTATAACTAATAGTTATCCATTAAATAGTCCATTTAAATAGTCTATTAAAGTTGACATTGTTAAGTAATGTTTTTCTTATTTCGAAAGCATCCTCGATTTATTATAGAAAATTTAAAACGTAAAAATGACAAAAGAAAACAACAAAGAAATCAACTGTAATTCAAACATCCCATCCGCTCAGAGATAGCCACATTAAATGTGGGGTGTATACATATCTAGTCTTTTTATGCACAATTGTTACTCTTTCATAAAATGGGATAATATTCACAGTCTGTGTTTTAAGTGAAAATAAAAGTATTAAGTATCTCATTGCCCATGTCATTAAATATTCTTCTATGACATGACTTTTAATAACTCATAGCCTTCTATCATATAGCTCCACCATAATTTAATTACTAAGTCCCCAATTATTGGATATTTGCAATGCTGCACTATTTTATTTTATTTGTGGGTACATAGTAGGTATATATGTTACGGGGTGCATTTGATATTCTGATACAGACATACTGATTTTTGTACACTGATTTTTAATCCTGCAACTTTACTGAATGTTAATCAGTTCTAATAGTTAGTTGGTGGAGTCATTAGGTTTTTCCAAATACAAGATCATGTTATCTGCAAACAGGAATAATTTGACTTTTTCCAGTTTGGATGCCCTTTATTTTATTTTCTTGTCCAGTTGCTCTAGCTTGGATTTCCAGTAGTATGTTGAATAACAGTGGTGAAAGTGAGCATCCTTGTCTTATTCCAGATCTCAGAGGAAAGGCTTTCAGTTTTTCTTCATTCAGTTTGATACTAGCTGTTGAACTGTTATATATGGCTTTCATTGTGTTGATGTATGTTACTTCTATACCCAGGTGGGGTTTTTTTGAGGGTTTTTATCAGAAGGGATGTTGAATTTTATCAAATGCTTTTTCAACATCAATTGAAATGATCATATGGGTTTTTTTTTCCTTCATTCTGTTGATATGATGTATCACATTGATTGATTTGCATATGTTGAACCATCCTTGCATCTCTGGGATAAATCCCACTTGGGAGAATCATAGCTCAGTACCTTGTTTGTGGTGGGCAACTTCTGTGTTGCAATTCATGCTCCAGAGCACCCTGTGGGATCAGTCTGAGACTGGAGTTTGCCTGAGGCCACATTTCGACTTATCTTCTTCCCTGTCTTAACCTGCTTGCCTCACCTCCCTGCAGTTTTTTCCTGAGACCATTCTCTCAGTTACTCATGTGCTCAACATGTGCTCAAGAATCCTCATGTCCACTTCTGCTTCTAGGGAAACCAGCAATGCTAAGTAGCTTGCTGTTTTATAAATAAATACAAGAATGAGTTCCCTATCTGAATTAATTCTTAATCAAAATTAAGAATTTAAATATTTGAAAATAGTTACATCTCTCATTCTGATATTTCTTCAGTTATAATAGTGCTTTTTCTCTTTTCCATGGCCTTTAAAAGATTAAGAAAGACTGTTCTATGAGTTTCTCATTTTACTCATATGAACATCAGTATGAAATTAATTTCTCTTTGGAAATCCACCAAAGGTTCTCAAATTCTTTTCTCTTTTTCCTGCTTTACTTAATAGCATATTTAATAAACTATAATTAAAGGTAAAGATAATTTACATAGATACAAATAAATCACTATTAATATCATTCTTCTCTAAATAGAAAACAGGACCTATTAGGTACAATGCATATTACCTGAGTGGCAAAGTTATCTGAATACCAAACCCCTATGACACACCTATATGACAAACCCTCATGTGTACCCCTGAACCTAAAATAAAAGCTAAAAAAAAAAGAAAACAGAAATGTCCTTTTTCAACTGGATGAATTTTATTCTGTAAGAAATAGAGGTTAAACAAAAGCATTTTCAAGTGAAATTACATGTATTTTCAGTATTTAGAGGAAATACTTTTTAGATTATCAACTTTAACCCATTAGTTAGCCATTGTCTCTAAGGAATAAGCACTTGCTTCAAGAGAACATTTCAACACTACCATATTTCAGCCTACTTTTTCTATTGTCTGACTCACATGTTCTTGTGAGTGAGCTGAAATTTATCTAAAATTGTTTCAAATAGCTGGGTGTGCTGACACATGCCTGTAATCCCAGCTACTCGGGAGCCTGAGGCAGGGGAATTGCTTGAGTCCAGGAGACAGAGGCTGCAATTAACTATGAATGCACTACTATACCCTAGCCTGGGCCACAGAGACCATGTCTCTTAAAAATAAAATAAATAAAATAAAATAAAATAAAATAAAATAAAATAAAATAAAAAAATAAAATTGTTTGTAAATATTTCCTGATTCAGTGTATGGCCCCGATTCGATATAGCAATTGAGCTAAAGGTCTCATAATGGAACATTTTACTAATGGTGCTTCAGAGATCATTTCTGTAATGACTAGGGGAAAATGTCACTCTAAAGAATGAGAGACATAAGGCCTTTGAGGTTGTAGGGCTCTTTTCACAAATTGATGTCCTTTGGAAACCTTATCTTTGCACCATCAAAAAGTTATTTTAGGAGGATAAAATGTACAAAAATACAGAAGTAGAGTTTTAGGTCAATCTTATTTTTGTTTTTCTTTTCTTAAAGGTGATCAGAAAGCATTTTTAGAAATGTATAATATTGTTTAAATTTGGACAGTATTTGGACATTTTTCAGTTTTAGAAAAAATTTTAGAGGCATGGAATCACATGGAGTCTATATTGGTCTAATAGAGAAAATATGATTTTTTTTCCTTTGACATGTCTAAACTCTTAACTGGCCTCATTTTTACAACTCAAGGAAAAAAAATCATTTGCCCTTAACATGTAATGCTAGGAAAGAAAAGTCATTTCACACTTTGAGCATCAGTGTGTCTTTTTTCTTGTCTTGGAATAATGTAAGTTTGTTTGAATGATGCCACTGAAAATAAGTAACTGTGGTTTTCTCTAAAGAAAATTCTATCTAGGACATGGCAGGCACTGGGACACTGTTTTAGCAGCAAAGACTTTTTTAGTATCATCATTTTAATGTGATGCTTGTAAAGGTCATTTCTATTTGAACATTAAAAATGTCATTGGACTGCAAAATATTACCAGATGTTTAATAGTCCTGTAAATTATCTTTTTAGAGTAATTTATAAACCAAATAGATAAGAAAGTGGAATTTCCCCCATGATTTGAACAATAGATATTTATTTCAGATAAGGCAAAAATACATTATTCAGATTATATTATACATATATTATGTGTATAATATATGTATAATATTTAGGTTATGTATTATCTGAATAATGGTTGGAAGTTAAGGAATAATAAAGATTCGTTATTGGATTTATTTTGTCTTTGTAAATTCAGAGTGGTAGATTAGTCAAGTTGTAGAGTAAGTGCCTAACTGAATCCTAACAAAGTATAACATTCACAGTTAATTCCTTTAAATAAAAAGTCACGTAGAAAAATATAAAAACATAGTAAACTAAAGAAATAAAATTTTAAAACCCTCTAATTCTGCAAATACTGGTAACATTTTTAATGTATATCCTTCTAGCATGTTTCCTATGTACATTTTTGTTTGTTTGTTTTTTGAGACAGAGTCTCGCTCTGTCGTCCAGGCTGGAGTGCAGTGGCATGATCTCGGCTCACTGCAGCCTCGGCCTCCCGGGTTCAAGCGATTCTCCTGCCTCAGCCACCCAAGTAGCCGGGACTACAGGCACCCACCACCATACCTGGCTAATTTTTGTCTTTTTAGTAGAGACGGGGTTTCACCATGTTGGCTAGGCTCTTCTCAAACTCCTGACCTCAGGTGATCCACCTGCCTTGGCCTTCCAAAGTGCTGGGATTACAGGTATGAGCCACTGTGTCTGGTCTCTGTGCACATTTTTTAAAATAATTTTTTAAATGTTTTACAGACCAAATAATGTAATTACAGAGATGCCTAGTGAAATATCATAACACTTTTTTTCTATTTTTAAAATACCTATAAAAGGAAAAAGTAAATATCCAATACATTTATTAGGAAATATTATGTGATAATGTCATAAATGCAATATTTGAATATGACTTTTTTAATGTTAGAGAAGTAAAGAAAAAAATAATGAGCATTTACTGAGTACTTACTGTATATCTGACACTATGTTGAGCCCTTTATTTTATTTTTCTTTTCTCAAGACAGGGTCTCAATATGTTGCCCAAGCTGGTCTTCAACTCCCAGCTCAAGCAATCCTCCCACTTCTGCCTCCCAAAGCACTGAGATTACAGGGGTGGTTCACCATGCCTGGCCATGAAGCTTTTACTGTATTCACTCACTTAAGTCTTAAAACCTCCGGATGTCCTAATTACCATTATTTCCATTTAACAAATGAAGAAACTAAGGCACTGAGGAGTTAAATTGCTTGCCCTGTGCCACACAATTAGTAAAGAAAGGAGTTAGGATGAAAACCCAGGCAATCTGGTTCTGCAACTCATGTTCCACATCAGCACTTCTGCATGTTAAGTGTGAAGACCAGGGCATCATGATAAATTGCTGATCCTGGTTCACTGGATCTGGGGTAGGGCCTGGGACTCAGCATCTCTAATAAGCCCCCAAGTGATGGGATACTGCTGGTCCTTGGAGCACAGTTTAACAAGCATCTCCACCACACACACGCACTACCTCTGTAACAAAGCTGTAATTTTCTGGTAACCTTTAGCAAGGATGGGCCCTTCATTCATCTTTCTGACCTCCATAGCAGGTTACCTGAATGAGTGAGCACAGGATATAAGACCTTTACCTTAAACAGTAACATCTTTTGATTGAATTTTTAGTTGAATGTCAAGAACTTCCCCCCTTTAATCACTGGATGTTGTCAGAACTTATTCTTCAGAAAGTTAGGTTTATCTTTGTGGGTTCTATTTGATTGATTTGTGCATTGGCTGGCCAAAATACATATCCCTCAACTTGGAAGTTACGAAAGCTGTATTCATTTGCCAAGCATTCATTTCCATACTTGGGAAAGTTGTCCTCTAAGACAGAGTACCTGAAACTACAAATCTTACCCAGCCCTCAAGGCCAAAATTGTTCACAAGAATTCCCAACATCGTCTGTTTCATCCTGCAAGTGGAAGTGTGTGAGTGGTCTTCGTGTAATATTGATGTTGAAAAGGAAAAGTTGTTTGGTAATACTAAAAGTTTATTTATTCCAAAGGGCCTACTTTTTGTATTGTCTGACTCACATGTTCTTGTGAGTGAGCTGAAATTCATCAAAAATTGTTTGCAAATATTAGCTGGGTGTGCTAACACATGCCTGTAGTCCCAGCTTCTCGGGAGCCTGAGGCAGGAGAATCGCCTGAGTCTAGAAGGCAGAGGCTGCAATGAACTGTGAATGCACTACTGCACCCTAGCCTGGGCAACAGAGACCATGTCTCTTAAAAATAAATAAAATAAAATAAAATAATTGGTAAATATTTCCTAATTCAGTGTATGGCCCCAATTTGATTATTTTAATAATGATATGAATTCCACCAATAAAATAATGTGACATCAAAAAAATCCAAGGTAGTGCTTTTATAAGGTTACAATGTTTTGCCCAAGGCCTTGGATACCATTTAATTATTCAAAACAGAAACTTGATATTTCATTCACAATATAAGAACTTGACACTAAAATCAAAGATGAGGTTTACAGCTTATTTTGGATTCTCTTTAAATAAAATTCTTCCTCCTTCAAATCTTCCTCCTCAAATAATAAATTTGCAAGATATTAATTTATAGAAACAATAGTTTATCAAAATCCCTGAACTTTAAAGCATCCAATACAGTAAAAAGAAAAGGTTTTCCTTTAAATAGTGATGCTATCTCTTTCATTTCTATACTGTACAGATTTGGCATTCACAATGCACTTTCATTGGATGCCTTGGATAAAACTGGGTCCTAACTAGGAAAACCATAGTAATCCCCATTTTTAGAGAAGGGAACAATTGCTCATTATGGTAGAGTGATTTGGTGCCTAATATCAACGGCCAATGAGTTGAAGAACTAGGGTCTTTTTAAATATGTATCAAGAAAAGACCATTCATTCACTTGAATTGAAACTGGTCAATGATTGGTTCAATTCAGCTGCTTTTACGAATATCCTCCATAAAAATTTCTAAAATTTCAATGGATTCTAATGAGGGGCTTTGGGTTCATCTGCCTAAAATAGGGATGAGTACAATAACTTCAATATCCATGTCATGTCCAATTATAAAATCATGGCTCCCAATTAATGATGAAGTTTTTCACTTTGCTTTAGAGCAGGGCTTCTCAAGTTTTAATGTGCATACAGGTGCAGGAAATGGGGAGGTGTGGGTCAAATGATACAAAGCAGGAAATGTGTAGGATGAACAAGTAAAAAAATCTAATGTACAGCGTGAGGACTATAATTAACAATCATGTATCATAGTCAGAATTTTTTCTAAATGAGTAGATTATAGCTGTTCTTGCCACAGGGGGACAAAGCGGGTAACTATGTGAGATGATGGATATGTCTATTTGTTCCCTTATAGTAACCATTTTACTGTACATAGGTATCTTATAACATCATGTTGTATGCCTTGAATTTACACAATAAAATTTATTTTTTTCAACGTGCATACAGATCACTTGAGAATCTTGTTACAATGCAGATTCAGATTCAGTAGGTCTGGCACAGATCACAAAACACCGCATATTCAACAAGCTTCCAGGTGATGCTTATGGCCCATGGACCATATTTGGATTAGCAGGGCTCTCAAACTTTAGCATGTACCAGAATCACCCAGATGGCTTCCTAAAACACAGATCGATGGGTGTCGTAGCCAAAGTTTCTGATTCAGTAGGTCTGGGGCGGACTCAAGAATTTGCATCTCTAACAATCTGCAGTGAAGCTGATGCTGGTCTGGGGACCACACATTAAAAACCGCTGCTTTGAAGCCCTGCATCTTTCTTTCGCAAGAGTGTGGCTCTCCCCAGATGAAACCCATTAATTCCATCCACTCTAAAATGACAGCTTAATCACAGAAACCTGGGAAGGGCTCCAGGAGACACTTTTCCTGGGAATTATCCAGAATTTGTCCCGCAAGTGATTGACCATAGTCCGTACCAAACGATTTGACTTAATTAATCTCAAAGATATATTTCCACAAAATTAACATTAAGAGTTGTTGGTCTACTTTCCTTTAAAAAGAGAAATCCATGATTTCTACCTAGCAGCCAAGAGTTCATTCCTTCTGAATTCTTTGTAAACTGTATCAAAACACTTCTAATAAATTCAAGTTGGTAGGAACTTTTTTATATACATATATTAAAGTTTGTATATGTAACACATATAAAAGGGTCAGCAGAGCTATGTTCTTTTACCCTTTGATAGCCTGCTGAGTAACCTGCTGTTATTATGCATTAAATACAAACTTGTTACAGACAGCAGAAAGCAGCATCTTCACTCTTTTCATTCATTGATTTATTCATTCATTCAAATTTGTTTTATTTTAGCATAACATTTAGGTAGTTCTTTACTTTCAGGACTTTGCCATTAATAATAGAGCTATTTATTATGTACTAACAGGAAACTAAATATGAATTATGCATTCATTCAATATTTTTTTTTTAAAAAAACCCAACTATGTGTCAGTCACTCTGATGGCCATTATATATGTAATGCTGAGGAAAATCAGATGCTCTCATAGCCCTTACAACTTGGAGGAAGAGAGTGACATTATAAAATTTATACATCTATGTGTAAAATTGCAGCTGCTACTAATGTTCAACAAAATGATACCATGTGAATGCTGTTGACTCATGTGAGTGCTTATATGATGACACACAGCCATGCTGTGTCAAGATTCACTTGAACCCATGCTCCAGTTACCGCTGGAAGAACTTGCTGGACATTAACTGTGCAAAACACCAAAAGTACTTTACTTGGTGTTAATGAAGAAGCTCAAAAAACTGAAGTCAACAGATGAATTTATCCAGCTCATTAAAGCTGTCTCTTGCTTCTAACTCACCCTGGTAGACTCTTCAAAATTAGGAGTTTTGACATATTTCATTATGAAAAATTCTAAGCTAACATTGAAAGAGCTGTACAAGGAACACCTATATATCAGCCACCCGGATTCCATAATTAAAATTTTGATGCTTTCACTTGATCACATATAAATCCCTCTATCCATTTATCTATCCATCTTGGTTCAATAGGATGCATTTTAAAGTAGGTTGCAAACATCAGTATACTTCACTCCTAAACGTTTGGGAGTGCATACAGCAGGACAAAGTTTGTTAAAGTGATTCTGAATTTCTTAGAAATATGAGGCAGATACATTATCTAATTTCATTCAACTAATAGAAATTTAAGGTACAAATTGTGCTCATGTTTGAAGAAGCTCCTCCTTAAGGGAAAGGCTGGCTCTAACAAAGCTACTTTCTGACAATATTTGTCCTGAGTAGGGTGGATTTCTGCATGATGAAATTATGAGACTCACCCGTAATACGCTGGAAAAACTGATGGCCTTACCTCTTACCCATGTGGTGCCCATCCAAAGCAAGATGCTGTCATAAGGTAAAAAGAACTGCACTCTTTTTTTTTTTTTTTTTTTTGAGACGGAGTCTTGCTCAGTTGCCCAGGCTGGAGTGCAGAGGCGCGATCTCGGCTCACTGCAAGCTCCGCCTCCCGGGTTCACGCCATTCTCCTGGGTCAGCCTCCTGAGTAGCTGGGACTACAGGCGCCCACCACCAAGCCCGGCTAATTTTTTTTTTTTTTTGTAGTTTTAGTAGAGACGGGATTTCACCATGTTAGCCAGGATGGTCTCGATCTCCTGACCTCGGGATCCACCCGCCTCGGCCTCCCAAAGTGCTGGGATTACAGGCATGAGCCACCGCGCCCGGCCGGAACTGCACTCTTCAGATGACTCAGACAAGGAAAGCATGATCCAACACCTCTAATAGCCCAGTAATACATATGATATTTGAAAGGCCCTTCACTTACCATGTTAACCATTCAGTTAAATCCTCCAAATCCTAATTCTCTGCTGCTCAACCATCAGATCCAAA
This sequence comes from Homo sapiens, assembly GCF_000001405.40. Taxonomy (NCBI): domain Eukaryota; kingdom Metazoa; phylum Chordata; class Mammalia; order Primates; family Hominidae; genus Homo; species Homo sapiens. The sequence goes on from NC_000020.11 coordinate 8,751,407, forward strand.
CTTTCAATGCCCAGGACGGAAATCTTTTCAACCAGCACATCAAATGGCTTTTCCTCCTTCTATAGAACTTATAAAAATGATCTTTTCAGTTACCATTTTACTGGTCCATCTGTATTCTATTTTCAGTGCACTTCTGTTCATTTTGGAATTAGGAAGCGTACAAATTCTTTTTATATTTAATTTTAACATTCAAGTTAGGCATATTTTGAAGAAAAAGATATTGCAATGATTGCATTTGTCCACTAGAGGGCAGGAACTTACTTCTGTGGTTCATTCTGCACTTTTTTTTTCACTACCCACCTAAGAAAAATCTAGTCAATGCGACTGAAGTACTACCACCTTCTGAATCTTCTTTCCTTGATAATTGCTTAATTGGAATTTAAATCTTTGAATCAAATTAAGAAACTAGACATTCCTAGTTTCTGTTTCTATCACAATTTCCAGTACCAGATTTTTATTCACTCATAAAAACAAATAATGGGGGAGAAATAAAATATTGACTTCTGCTGATTCTCTTGAGTGGGATAAGGAATTTGGTTTTTGCACTTTGGCTTACAGATCCATATAGTGGAATTATTCGATCTTTCAATTATAATATCAGAAAGTTCAATTTTAGTATTGTACTCCTATAGGTGCTTTTTTTCATTTTTCAGCCATTGTTTTGCTTAACTTATTTAACTTTGTATGTACGGATGCCTTTTTAGTGCAACAGGGTAGTTCTTTGAGAATTATGTTTACATGTAGACATCTCTATCTCAGCAGCAAGTTAAGTTATTATTACGGTTCCTTAAGCTGCTGTTATCATAGAGTGGACTGCTGTAATAGAAAAATTTAGTCTTTAGCATATAGTCCATATTCAAATACTTGTTCACAGTTTCCTGTGTGACCTCTGGCAAGTTACATGACTTTTAATAAAGTTTTTAGTAAAGACTTTTAATAACACCTCCGATTATTTTGCTTTATTATGGTACTGTGCGTGTTGCCTACACTGACTGGCTGTGAAAAAGCTGTTGTATATAACAGTGTCTAACCCAGGATGATCTACAGCCACTTCTAATTGCAGTCTCCATTCGGTAAATGGAATCAATTAAAATGTGTACCTATGGGCTGGGCAGGGTGGCTCATGCCTGTAATCCAGCACTTTGGGAGACCGAGGCAGGTGGATCACTTGAGGTCAGGAGTTCGAGACCAGCCTGGCTAACATGGTGAAACCCCGTCTCTACTAAAAATACAAAAATTAGCTGGGCATGGTGGTGCATGCCTGTAATTCCAGCTACTCGGGAGGCTGAGGCAGGAGAATCGCTTGAACCCAGGAGGTGGAGGTTGCAATGAGCCAAAATTGCACTACTGCACTCCAGCCTGGGTGACAGAGTGAGACTCCATCTCAAAAAAAAAAAAAAAAGTGTCTACAGCCCTTAGCAAAAAAGTTTAAACATTAGTCACATGTATATGTTATAGAATCTTACTTAACTCAGGCATCCCAACCAGTACTGGTCTGTAGCTTATTAGGACCTGGCCCGCACAGCAGGAAGTAAGCAGCAGGTGGGCAAGCAAGCAAAGCTTCATCCCCATCACTCAAATTACTCCCTGAGCTCTGCCTCCTGTTAGATCAGTAGTGGCATTAGATTCCCATAGGACTGTGAACCCTATTGTGAACTGCACATGTGAAAAATCTAGGTTGTGGGCTCCTTATGAAAATCTAATGCATGATGACCTGTTACTGTTTCCCATCACCCCCAAATGGGACCATCTAGTTGCAAGAAAACAAGCTCAGGGCTCTCACTGATTCTACATTATGGTGAGTTGTATAATTATTTCATTATATAGTACAATGTAACAATAATAATAGAAATAAAGTGCACAATACATGTAATGCACTTGAGTCATACTGAAACCATCCCCTCAATAACCTCCTCTCCCCCTGGTCCATGAAAAAATTATCTTCCATGAAACTGGTCCTTGGTGCCAGAAAGGCTGGGGACCACTGACTTAACTTGTATATAACATCTGTCTCCAGAAAATCATGAGGTCCCTGACAAGAGTCAGACTATGCAAGGATCTCCAAATTCCTTAGCCCAGTGTTTAATGTCCTCATTACTGACCCTCTTCTCTATGCCTTTGCTTGGCCACTGGGGCGAGAAGGTAAGAAGCTCCTGGCCCACCGAGTTCCCAGCACAGTCCTGTCACTTCAGCATTACTAAGGATGCATAGCTCACTCTTGCACCATCTCAGAATTCCAGGCAAACTCTGCTCCTCCTGGCAGAGGGTACAGATTGGCAACTTCTGGGCCAAATGCAGTCTGAAGATGTGCTCTGTTTGTCTTTTCAGTGATTGGAAACTGGGAGAGTTCACTCAAAACTTTCATTTTTCCATTTTTCTCAAAACCTGGGTGGAAATAGGCTAAAAATGAACAGCAGCCACTGCCCCATTTACAGGCTGTCTCTCTCCTGCTCTGGACATGACCTCACTTTGCCCTATTGCATTAAATCTACTTCACTGGTTTCTATCATTTCCACTAACTGCCTATTACTCTACAGTGTGAATAGTATCCTTAGGGGTTGTGTCCCAAGAGTGACACAGTCCACTCTACATGGAGACATCACCAGGTGTGACCCCTGGACTAAGCATTTCTCTAAAGCCTACTTCAAAGTCCAGCACCAACCCTTGGTGCCCACTTTATCCCCGACTGCAACCATAAAGTATTTGCCTGAATGTTTACTTAACATCTATCTGCTTTTTAAAAATGTCTTTGATTTTATATAGTACGTCCCTTTTTGGAAGGTGGAGGCTTTGTCTCACATGCCCTTGATAAGCAGAGATTTATTTTTTCCTTTATTTGACTCAAATTGACAATCGAACTTGGTTTCCCAAGGGCATACAGCTACATGGAGTATCTGAAAACCTAATGCAAATCTAAAAATAAACTTGTTGGATCCAGTTTGAATGCACCTCCAGTCTAACACCTCAAGACACTAATTTTAGTTGCCAAAAAAAAAAAAAAAGCCACCATTATTACTTTCACAGAAGCTGGTTTTCCCTAACTTCCATTCTTTCCTCCATCAAAATTTTCTTTTTCTCTATCCTTTTTCAGAGGGCTAATTTTAGTGAGCTGTCACATTGGGAAGAATCTGGTTCATTCCCCACATGGTTTTAGAAACCAACTTGGATATAATGGGGAAGGTCAGATCCCCACGGAATAGGGACATCTTCCTACCTGCTTTCTAAAGCAGCTGAGTTTGGTAACCATGGGCACCCTCTTCAGCTGGGAGGCCAGCAAAGCGTTACCCCTGCTGTATTTAAGCCAAAGAACCACCCACTGTGGGTGTATAGGTCCCATGTAGTCAAATCTAGTTTTTCAAGGGAAGTAAGAAACCCATTGTTTCAGTATAAGATCACCTTAATTAAAAGATTTGACAACACTGGTTGAGCCAAAGAAAATGCATCCATGTACTCCATTGGGACCATGACTTTCCAGTTTGCAATGTCTTGCTGAACAACACATACACAATCCTTTCCCTTTGCATATAATTCTAGGGAGAATTTTTCTGATGGATGTAACTAAATAGTGTGACCATACTGGCACTTACCCATCAGAAGTAGTCATTTTTCAAAAGAAAGATTCTGCCATAGTGAGCTATACAGGCTGCCCCGGTTACTTGTTTAGTCTCCTGTCTCCCCTAACTGATGTCCAGCCACTGCTACTAAGGGCTCTTCCAGCATTGAGTAGGGTGTAGTAAACAAGCAGGGATGATTTGTTGAATTAAAATAAGTTCTGCCATCACTTAATGCAGTTTTGGAAGATGGTTTAAAGATGATTTGGGAAACAGATTAAAAGCCACTGGTGACAATCAGTGTCACTATTTTCACTCTTATCTTACTTTTTATAAGAAAGTTATTATAGGTCAATTTTTCATCTGTAATCACATGCCAAAATGTCACAATGTTAGGCTCCAAAAGACTTCTGGAAAAATATATTTCCTAATGTATTTTTAAAATGTGCTACAAAGTAGAACATTGGGATAGCCTCATTGTCAGTAAAACCTGCCAGGGACTTGGAAGGCAATTCTGATAAAGAGTTACAGAGAATTTAGCATATTGAAAAGCAACATTAAAAGAGTATGTAGGCAATTATTTTATAAGGATCAGCATTTATTCAACAAACATTTTTAAACTGTTTACTGTGTATAAGGTATGTGGAATTAGCTGCTGGAGGGTGTCGAATGAAGATTTTACGTTTCAATGCATTTATTATTATTATTCATTGGTAGTATTCCACAAGCTTAAAGGTTTTATTTGTTTTATGTCAACATAAATAACAAACAGATGCTCTCTAAAAGAAAATGGTATTATTTAAGAATAGGGCATACTAAATTATGTGCTTAGTCAGGGAGGGAAGGAAGACAAAGGTTTGTAAAGGATAAATGAGGAGGGTTACATAATTGTTTTCAGATGATTAGCCTTGGCTACAAGGATCAATAACAAGAGTGACCTCAGTCTGACGTTGGACAGGGAGTTGCTAGGCAGGTGTCCTCACAGAAGTATTTTTTGTGTAAAGTTGCTATGGCCTTTGTACAAGGTGATGGCTTTTGCAGAGTCTTTTGTGAGAGTTTTTCTTATCAGGCATTTATGAGTGAGAACCTTCTCTTTATGACATTCCCTGGCTCTTTTTGTCAGGGTTTTTTGGGTTTTTGTGGGTGTTGTTGTTGTTTTAATATAAGGGACTCCATTTAGATTCTGACAACTTTCACATTATTTAACATCCACATATTTACTCTGTGCCAGAAACAATTCTAAGTACTTTATAAGTATTAACTTATTTAATCATCTAAACAATCTAACAAGATAATATTATGATCCCCAGTAAACACCTGTCTTCATCTATAAGGATAAAGAAATTGAAGCACAGAGAGTTAAGTGAACTGCCCAAAATCACACTGCTGGTAAATTGCAGGGCCAGAATCTGAACCCAGGCAAGCTGTGCTCCAAAATGTGTGTTCTTATCCATCACATCGATTAGCTCATTCTGTAAAACAACCCCAAACTTGGCAGCTTATAACATCAACTAGTTATTATTTTTCATGCATTATCTGGTCAGCTGGGCAGGTCTGCAGATCCAGACCAGACTCATAGACTCAGCTCATCTCAGCCGGGTTCACTCAAGTGTATGTGCTCAGCTGGGGACTGGCTGGTCCAGGACATCCTTGACCAGGATGACTCAGCTCTCTTCCAGAAGAGCTGGATGACAGACCAGGATGACTCAGACCTCTCATCCTCCATTGCTATAATAGGACCCTGAGAAACAGTGGAAAAATTTGCAAGGGTCTTTTGTATCAAGTTTGCTATTCTCTGATTAACCAAAGCAAATCACATGGTCTGGTCCAGAGTCAGTGTGGAAGGGCACCACCAACGGGCATAGACATAGGTTGGTGTAAAAATTGGAGACTTTAATACAATTAACCTCCCATAGTCATGGCTCAACACTATGCTGTTTTAACCCTGCTTTCCAGGGAGTATCAAATTTGATATTTCCAACTCCAAAAGAATTGTGAAGATGCTATAAAATGTAGCCTTGTTGGTTTAGGAAGGCAAGAAAAGAATAAAAAGAAATGTGGAAAATGAAAGGATATTTATAATTTTAGGCTGATCCTGGAGAAACACCATCAGAGGCTCCAAGTGAAGCGAGAACGACTCCAGCAGAAAATGGGGTGAATCACACTACAACCCTGACACCCAAGCCACCCTCCCAGGCTCTCCACAGCCAGCCAGCTCCAGGTAAGCCATCTGGAAAGAGCTGGACAACATGAGCAAGATCCTCCAGTTCATTAGTGCCACTGACGGAGGCGCTGTGATGTGGGTAGCTAAAGCATCAAGTGGGGAAAGATGTGTGGACTTAGGAGGAGCTCCGTCAATGTGCAATTAATGAATGAAAGCCAGAAGAGAGTCATATGTGCTCATCTGGCTCTACAGATAACTTATGAAACCACAACAAAAAAAATCACCCAGATTTCCGGTGTCCTTTTTCAGTGATGAGTTATGACCCATCTGCTGGCACAGTTTGAGAAGAATTCTCCAAGCAGCTTATAAACAACCATGCCTTAGAAGTGCATTCTTAGTCTTGCTTCATTAATTCTGTGCCAAGGGCTCCTTTCCCTCTTTCTCCAACTTTCTTTTCAACATCTTTGAGTGTCTGCCCTGTGCTGGACACATTGCTAAGCTTTTCATATGGATCATTTCAATTCCCCCCATACCAGGCCCAAGAGTAGATTCTATTATTGTCCCCATTGTGCAGATGAATAAGCTGCCATTTTCAGGTGATAAAGTACTTATTGAAGGCCACAGTGCCAGGGAAGAGTGACCTTAGGCCTGATGCAGTTCCCAATGATACTAACATTCTTGCTTTTAGCTCCTATATTACAGCCAAAGCCACACTCTTGTCTCATTTCTCAAAATGAATAAATGAATAAATAAATAAATAAATAAATAAATAAAATAAAAATCCTTTGATTTCTACGCAGCTAACTTTGACATTTAATCTTATGCAGCTTTGTGTAACTATTCCTTGTGTGTATGTCCTGTTTACCCCAGTAGATGGGAGGCTTCCTAGGTAGACTTCAATTTGATGCCTCCTCTGTACATCACACAGTGCTGGGGAATAGCATGTACCTGATAATTTCTTGTTGAATTGGTTAATAAAGTAAACAAAAGGGAGCAGAATTTCCTTCCATGAAGGTGTGGAAAGGAGCTCCTTTCTTTGTCATACTAGATCAGGGTGCCAGTAGATCCAGATCTTTTAAGGGTATTTCTCATGGGAGAGAAAGAGAATTAAAAAAAAAAAAACCAATTATATTTAATTTGTATCAGACACGCTTGAACTGCTTTTTAAAAGGTTGCTGGCCAGGCATGGTGGCTCATGCCCGTAATCCCAGTACTTTGGAAGGTTGAGGCAGGTGGATCACTTGAGGTCAGCAGTTCAGGACCAACCTGGCCAACATGGTGAAACCCCCATCGCTACTAAAAATACATAAGTTAGCCTGGCATGGTAGTGCATGCCTGTAGTTCCAGCAACTCAGGAGGCTGAGGCAGGAGAATTGCTTGAACCCAGGAGGCGGAGGTGCAGTAAGCTGAGATCGCACCACTGCACTCCAGCCTGAGTGACAGAGCGAGGCTCCATCTCAAAAAGAAAAAAAAAAAGTTGCCAAAGTCAATAATAGTAAGAAGATGACGTTATAAACAAGAAGTAAATTTTCAAATAAAGAGTTTTATATACCAAATACAAACATCTTGAATGCTTCTGAAATATAAATCCATCATTTAAATGTGTGAGTAAATAGTCATGTGTTCCTGAAAGTAAAAGAGAATTTAGCATTTTCACATTTAATTTTTTTAACTTGATATTTTGGAATAATTGAACTTACAGAAAATATTTTTTAAATGGCACAGAATACATTGCAAAAATAACCTCTTCTTCCCCTAAAGTTAACATCTCACGGGATCATGGGGCAATCATCAAAACCAGGAAAGTAACATTGGCATGATACTCTGACCTAAACTGCACAATTTATTTGGACTAACCTGCTTTCTACAGTAATGTCCTTTTACTGTTCAAGATTCCAACGCAGGATCCCAAATTGTATTTTATTGTCATGATTCTTTAGTCTCCTTTAATCTATGGCAGTCCCACAGTCTTTCCTGTCTTTCATAACCTTGGTACTTTGGAAGAACTCTGGTCAGTTATTTTGTTGAACATCCCTCAGTCTGGGTTGGTCCGATGTTTCCCCATGATTAGGTTGAGGGCATGCATTTTGACAAGAGCACCATGCAAGTGATACTCGCCTTTCTCAGTGCATCACATCACGGATATATGATGTTGCTGGGTCTCATCACTGATGATATGGGATCACTTGGTTAAGGTGGTTTCTCCACTGAAAGTTATTATTTTCCCCTCTTAGATATATTGGGAGAGCTACTTTGAGACTATGCAAATATCCTGTTCTTCCTTAAACTTTTGCTTACTGATTTTTAACATTCACCAATGGATCTTTCCTGTAACAGTTATTACTGCCTAGTGGTCAACATTTGACTTTTATTTTTATTTTACTTTATTTTATTTTGAGACAGAGTTTGGCTCTTGTTGCCCAGGCTGGAGTGCAATGGTGTGATCTCAGCTCACTGCAACCTCTGCCTCCTGGGTTCAAGCGATTCTCCTGCCTCAGCCTCCCAAGTAGCTGGGATTACAGGCGTGCACCATCACACCCGGCTAATTTTATATTTTTAGTAGAGACGGGGTTTCGCCATGTTGGTCAGGCTGGTGTCGAGCTCCTGACCTCAGCTGATCCATCTACCTTGGCCTCCCAGCGTTTGACTTTTAAAAGGTCACTTGTCATTCCTGATTTAGCCAGAAGATGGCGATAGCATTGCCTAAACTGAATTTGTTCCAAGTGGATGTCTTTTCTCTTTTCTCTCGTTATAAATGGGGCATATAATATCACATTTTTTTTTTTTTTTTTTTTTTGGAGACAGACTTTCACTCAATCTGTCACATAGGGTGGAGTGCAGTGGCATGATCTCAGTCCACTGCAAACTCCACCTCCTGGCTTCAAGTGATTCTTCTGCTTCAGCCAACCAGGTAGCTGGGATTACAAGTACCCGCCACCATGCTCCGCTAATTTTTGTATTTTTAGTAGAGACAGGGTTTCACCATATTGCCAGGCTGGTCTTGAACTCCTGACCTCAAGTGATCCGCCTGCCTCGGCCTCCCAAAGTGCCGGGATTACAGGAATGAGCCACTGCACCTGGCCTAATGTTACATTTAATTAGGTTTGTCTCAAAGCTGCAAATGAAGACTTTTTAAGAATAATTTTTATAAAGAATTTTCTCACACAATTTGTCATTTCTCTGAAAAGAGATTTAGATTCAAGGCCCAAATATGTTTGTTTGTTTACAGGAAGAATAAAATTTAAAAAGTTGAAGAGGCTATTTATTTTATCTTTTATATTACAGGTTCTGTAAAGGCACCTGCCAAAACAGAAGATCTTATTCAGAGTGTCTTAACAGGTAAATGCCACCCTTTCCCCCCATGGAATTAAGCAGCTCAGTGTTACACAGTGGAAGTATTTAGAGGAGAGGAAATTTCCATTCATATCTGAAAAACAACATCATTAATATTTCTTCTTCTAAAAAATCTAGAGACATACACTTTTAGTTTAGTCTACATGATATGATATAATCACAGAGAAGTAACCATACTTTGTAGCTAGAACCCTACTGGCATAAAAATAATGTAGTTTCACAAGATAGCTATTTCAGCATCAAAGAATAGTTTCATGCTGGAAATGTAACCCAGTGAACAAGAATGCCTGTCTTCCCAAATTGCCAATAATAAACTATATTTTAGATATGCAGAATATGATCCATTTGTGAGCATAAAATGCACAGTGTTTAAGAACTGTGATACAGTTTGGAGTTATTTTATATTTGGTTAGTCACATAAACTAGTGGAACTAAAATTGGTACAAGCTTTGTGCAGTACAATTAGCAGTATGTAGTGGAATCTTAAAAATGTTTATAATACTTGGTTCAATATACAACAGAAATGTACACACACGTTCACCAAAAGCAGCACCACTGGTAAGGGCCAAATCTAGAAACAACCCAATGTCCATCAGCTGTAAGGTAGGTAAATAAATTGTGATAAATTCCTAGCATGGAACAGGAGGCAACTGCAGGAATAAATAAACTCAAGTCACACACAACATGGATAAAACTCAAGCATAATGTTGAGGAAAAAAGTCAGACACAAAAGAACATATTCTGTAGGATTCCATATACACCAACTTCAAAGACAAAACTAATCTGTGCTGTAGAAACCTGGATTTGGATTATACTTGGTGGGAGACAGGAACCAAAAAGGAAGGCTTCTGGGATGCTGGCCAAATTCTAACTTTGACCTAAGTGATGGATATTGAAGCACATTGACTTTGGGAAAATTTACAAGGCTATACTTTTATGATTTATGCACTTTGATGCGTATATTTGCATTTCATCAAGAAATGCATAAAATATGCGTAGAAAAATTACTTGAGGAAAGTATTAAAAGAAAACAAAACATGGTTTGGTTTTGTTTTGTTTTTGAGACAAAGTCTCACTCTGCCACCCAGGCTGGAACACAGTGGTACAATCTCGGCTGACCGCAACCTCCACCTCCCGGGTTCAAGCAATTCTCCTGCCTCAGCCTCCCAAATAGCTAGGATTACAAGCACGTGCCACCACACCCGGCTAATTTTGTATTTTTAGTAGAGACGGTGATTCTCCACGTTGGCCAGGCTGGTCTCGAACTCCTGACCTCAGGTGATCCACCCGCTATTTTTAGTAGAGACGGTGATTCGCCACGTTGGCCAGGCTGGTCTCGAACTCCTGACCTCAGGTGATCCACCCGCCTCGGCCTCCCAAAGTTTTGGGATTACAGGCGTGAGCCACTGTGCCCCTCCCAACAAAACATGTTTTTAAAAGATTTAGTTCTAGGCTGGGTGTGGTGGCTCACGCCTGTAATCCCAGTACCTGGGGAGGCCAAGGGGGGGGCGGATCACCTGAGGTCGGGAGTTCGAGACCAGCCTGACCAACATGGAGAAACCCCATCTCTACTAAATATTACAAAATTAACCGCTGTGGTGGCGCGCACCTATAATCCCAGCTACTCAGGAAGCTGAGGCAGGAAATTCGCTTGAACCCAGGAGGCGGAGGTTGCCGTGAGCCAAGGTTGCGCCATTGCACTCCAGCCTGGGCAACAAGCGCGAAACTCTGTCTCAAAAAAAGAAAGATTTAGTTTCATGGGAAACAACACCATATTAATGCATACAACAAGAGACAGCAGTGTTCCTAGAATGTTGTTTAAAATAACGTAAATGAATGGACAAAAGGCAATGGTCTGTACCAATACATTAGCTGTGATTATATCTTGGTGGCTTATTTATAAATGATATTTGTGTCTTTATATAAGTGAGCATTACCTTTATACTTAAGAGCATAGTCTAAGGAACAGCCTCTCTCATCTACAGACTTTTTAAAAATAATAGTTTATGTGGATTTATTTCTAATCGTAGGTTAGAACATCTAGAGCCTTATTTCCAAACTGCCTATAGCTGATATGCTGTAAACCACTTTTAAAGAAATAGAATTGCATCTGCCTCCAAGAATGCAGCAATTCCTTGGGATTATAAATTCTTAATGTAATAATTTATTATGCAACCATAATGAGTCAATTTGGGCCTGAAGGAAACCATTAAATAAATGTACCTGGTTTTCTCCATGGCCTCATTCTCAAAAGAGATCGAATGTCAGGAGAATAGACACAGTATAAGAAAAGGAAACATATTTCTATTGCTTAAAGACCTTAACATTTAATAACATAACTTATTATTCTAGTCTCAATGTTTATTCACTAGACATCTTATTTTCTATTCAGGTCTCTTGTTATTCACAGCATATATTATTTCTGAATCTCTTGATAGTTTCAAATATTTATGGTAACATTTTTTGTTCCCAGAAGCAGGACATTCAATTCAAACCATGGAAACATGTGAACTATGACTTGATCTAGGTCCATATAAATGATAATTCACTGGAGTTAAGATACCATCAGTTGTAAAGCATCCTACGTTCATGTATTGCTAAAAAAGAAAAGCACTGACCAACCATCATACCCCACCAACCATAAGATGCATCTTGATTTCGGAAATGTTAACATATTTTTTAAATGCACATTCTAGAATTGATTGAATATATCAGTAAAATACAGATTAGTTTTGTTTTGTTTTGAGACGGAGTCTCACCCTGTCGCCCAGGCTGCAGAGCAATGATGTGATCGCGGCTCATTGAAACCTCCGTCTCCCGGGTTCAAGTGATTCTCCTGCCTCAGCCTCCCGAGTGGCTGGGATTACAGGTGCCTGCCACCACACCTGGCTAATTTTTGCATTTTTATTTATTTATTTATTTATTTAGAGACAAGAGTCTAACTCTGCCACCCAGGCTGGAGTGCAGTGGCACAATCTTGGCTCACTGCAACCTCTGCTTCCCAGGTTCAAGCAATTCTCCTGCCTCAGCCTCTCGAGCAGCTGGGATTATAGGCATGTGCCACCATGCCCAGCTAATTTTTGTGTTTTTAGTAGAGACAGGAGTTTTGCCATGTTGGCCAGGCTGGTCTCGAACTCCTGACCTCAGATATCCACCCACCTTGGCCTCCCAAAGTGCTGGACTTACAGGCATGCGCCACCACACCTGGCCTAATTTTTGTATTTTTAGTAGAGATGGGGTTTCACCATGTTGGCCAGGCTAGTCTCGAATTCCTGACCTCAGGTGATCCTGCCTCGGCCTCCCAAAGTGCTGGGATTACAGGCATGAGCCAATGCACTTGGCCCAGAATGTTTTAAGGTCAGACTCTATCACATTCAAAGTTTTCTCAGCATGGGATAAAAAAATCAGCCAGGCATGGTGACTCATGCCTGGAAATCCCAGCACTTTGGGAAGCCGAGGAGGGCAGATCACTTGAGGCTGGGAGTTTGAGACCAGGCTGGCCAACATGGCGAAACCCCGTCTCCATAAAAAATAGAAAATAATTATCCGGGCATGTTGGTGCATGCTTGTAATCCCAGCTACTTGGGAGGCTGAGACATGAGAATCACCTGAACCCGCGAGGTGGAGGTTGCAGTGAGCTGAGATCACGCCACTGCACTCCAGCCTGCGCAACAGAGCAAGACTCTGTCTCAAAAAAGAAAATAGTAATCATAATCATAATAATATAGTAAAGTGGGCTGCTAGTAAGCCTCTGGTGACTTTGTGCAAATTATATTAAGGTATCTTCCCTCAAGACACTTTACTGCTATATGCTTTTATGATAAATGTACCAGCTTATGATGTTTATACTGTAAATGATACCTTTTAGAAATGATGTTGTAGAACCTGCACAGTTATTTTCTAAGCCTCCACAGGCACAGTGCCAGAAACTGAGTTAAATACTTTCCATGAGTTCTTTTATTTCATCATCTTAACAACCCTATAAAGTTATAGAAGTATTATAATCCTTATAGCAATGCTGTTGGTGCCCTGCCCAGATTCCTTGTACAGCTGGTGCACCCGTCTCCTGGCTGGTGGTGAGGGTTGGCTGTTAACAGCTCATAACTTCTCCTTCTCTGCAAAATTGCCCTCAACCAAAAGGAAGCCCCCTCTCCAGATGGTTATGCCTCCCTGCACTGAATGTTCCAAATATGCAAGAAGCTTGCCTTCTTGCCTCAAGATGAGACCAGCTCAGTGGTACAACTCACACTCCAGCACTTCCCCATGGGATCAGGCAGAGACCAGACTCCATCCTTCTGAGACCACACCCTTGCTCAGCTCCTTCCCCAGCCCCGTCTGCTTTCCTGGCTCCCCTACTCTGAGAGTCCCTCAGTAAATCACGTGCACCTGAATCCCCATCTTGCATTCTGCTTCTAGGGAACCCAAACTAAAAATATATGTATTCGAATGAAGCAATTGGGTCTCTGAGAAGTTTAGTAACATAGTCTCAAAGTTAGCAAGTGATAGAGCCAGACTGGAACCCAGGTAGAGCTGACATCAAGCTTTGCTCTTAAACTCTAGCTGGGCAAGATCAACCATTTCTTCCTAAGAAGGTAGCCGCTCTTCTTTCCATCTGGATGTTCAGCCCTCCCATTCCCTTAGCTTTCATATTCATTTGTTGCAGAAGTGGAAGCACAGACCATCGAAGAACTAAAGCAACAGAAATCGTTTGTGAAACTTCAAAAGAAACACTACAAAGAAATGAAAGACCTGGTTAAGAGACACCACAAGAAAACCACTGACCTTATCAAAGAACACACTACCAAGTATAATGAAATTCAGAATGACTACTTGAGAAGGAGAGCCGCTTTGGAAAAGTCCGCCAAAAAGGACAGTAAGAAAAAGTAAGTTCAATGAATATTTTTAGTTGGTTTCATAGCATGAAGAGTTGTTAACATGGATTTTTAATGTTTTATATCATATTTTTGGACCTGTACCATGGCAAGAAAACCACCTAACCTCCGTTCTCCATAGCTTTTGTGGCACCTTAGCCCAGATTTGCTTGTGAATTGAATTTTTTTATTTAACCAAATTCTGAGAATAAATATGCAGGAAGTCCTCCTGTGAGTCTAGCCTGCGATCCCAATTCCAGTTAACTAACTTCCTATATTACAGCTGCCAATCTCATGGGTATGAGACTTTGCCTGGAGTACCTAGAACCTAGTTGGAGAGGCAGCTGATTTTTTTTTTTGAGACAGAGTCTTGCCCTGTCACCCAGACTGGAGTGCAGTGACATCATCTCGGCTCACTGCAACTTCTGTCTCCAGAGTTTAAGTGATTCTTGTGCCTCAGCCTCCCAAGAAGCTGGGATTACGCCACTACGCCTGGCGAATTTTTGTATTTTTAGTAGAGATGGGGTTTCACCAGGTTGCCCAGCTGGTCTTGAACTCCTGGCCTCAAGCGATCTGCCTGCCTCGGCCTCCCAAAGTGCTGGGATTACAGGCATGAGCCACCATGCCTGCCCACAACTGGTCTTATAGAAAAGAGAAGCTTACTATCCTTTGCTACCCTGTCTGAAATCCATAATGCCCTACACAGGTGACTCTAATTTGGGCCTGGGTTCCCACAGCCCCATATACCCAAACCTTGATGATGAGAAGCATCTCTCACACATTCACTTAATTAATATTTTTTGAGTGCCTACTGTGCCCTGGGGACACAGCAATAAACATGACCTACCCAATCATCTCAAATAGTAACATGGTAATGTGGGAAACATAAATAATAAACAACAAACACACAGCATCATCTCAGGCTGTGATGAGGACTATCAAGGAAAGAAAGAAACAGGACCATGGGGTAGAGAATGACTGGAGATAGGAGATCCCTTCTGACATGTTGATCTGCAATAAGGTGGCACAGAAAGAATAAAGCCTGGTCAGCTATGGAAAGAACTAGGGAGACTTACTCCAGGCTGAGGAAACAGCAAGTGCAAAGGCCCTCAGGCAGGAAAAAAATGTGCTTGTGCCAGGAACAGTAAAGCTGGCAAAGTGGGTGAAACATTGTAAACCATGAGAGGAGTGAAACAGGATGAGATCAGAGAAACAGGAGGGAATCCCACTGCTAGGTTCTTTAGAGCTAGAGCAAGCAACAGTTCAAAATGTATCGAACGTGCAATAAGATTCTACTGAAGAAAGAAATTGATATGGCGAAATTTGAGAGTCTCAGAGCAATGACTCTAGCTGCTGTGTGGAAGAGGGACCCTCAAGCTGTGCATCTCAAATGGACATGAGTCACTGGGGATCTTGTTAGGTGCAGGTTCTGCTCCATGTCTGAATTGGGGCCTGAGCAGCACCAGGTGATGCTGATTCTGCAGTTCCATGGACAACACTCTGAGTAGTGAAGATCAAGGACTCAGAGTGAAAGCAGGAGACCAGTTAGGAAACTTTTTCATGAGTCCAGCTGAGTAATGATGGTGGTTTGGTCTAGGATGACGCTGGTAGACATGGAGAGAAGGGGATGAATTCTTGATTTGTTTTAAAAAGATCGTAAAATATGGGGTCAGAGGCCTGGAAGAGAGAAGCCTGCTTGTATGTCTCTGCAATTCCCAGGTGTCCTTTAGAGAATGAAACTCATGCTGTTACCCACACCAAATGTGTTCATGAAACTCCATTATCTAGCCTAGATCAGTGCATCTCAAATTTCAGTGTGCATGTGAATCACTTGCAGCATTTGCTAAACACAGACCCTCGGGACCTGACCCTAGAGTTTCTGCCTCAGGGGCCTCCTTCGGTAGGGACTGAGCTTCTGAGCTTCTAACGAGCTCCTAAGGTTTGCTGATGCTGCTGGTCCACAGACTTTCCACTGATGGGCCCTGGTCTATAATCATTCAGGAGCATCCTAGAAATTGAAGGGTGGCTGAAAGGCTTTCTTTGGTCTAATCCCTGCCTCCCTTCCCAGCTGCCATCTCCCAGCACTTCATATGAAAACCTGTACTTTCTGCCGAGTTCCCACCATGATGAGATAGGGCAGTTAGGATTCTCTGGGCTCAGGGCCCTTCTTCAATTGCAAGACTCTTGTGTGAACAATGCAGACGCTGCCTCTAAACTCCAACAAAGACCTGCTTCCAAATGTGAGGTTGCCGTGTGGATTTCAGAGTGTCACCCGCTCTCAGAACCCCACATGTGGACTGCGCATCATAGCTTATCATGGGACTTTGTGGACACAGGGTCTGGCGGACCACAGGGGGCTTCCTCTCTTGAACCCTGTCGAGGGCTGTTCCCAGTTCTGGAATAGCATTTCATTGAGTGTCAACAAAGTACTGGGCATATGTGTCATATCAGTTTCCTAGGATTGCTGTAAAAAGTACAGCAAACTGGATGGCTTAAAACAATAAAAATGTATTTTCTCACAGTTTTGGAGGCTAGGAATTCAAAATCAAGGTGTTGGCTGGGCGCAATGGCTCACTCCTGTAATCCCAGCACTTTGGGAGGCTAAGGTGGGAGGATCACTTGAGACCAGCCTGGGCAACATGGTGAAACCCCATCTCTACTAAAAATATGAAAATTAGCCAGGCATGGTGGCACACACCTGTAATCCCAGCTACTTGGGAGGCTGAGGTAGGAGGATTGCTTGAACCAGGAGATGGAGGTTGCAGTGAGCCGAGATGGTGCCACTGCACTCCAGCCTGGGCAACAGAGAAGGACTCTGTCTCAAGACAAAACAAAACAAAACAAAAAAACAAAATCAAGGTGTTAGTGGACTATGCGCTCTCTGAAAAGTCTAGGGGAAGAAACTTTTTTTTTTGTTTCTTCTAACTTCTGGTGGTTGCTGGCAATCTTTGGCATTCCTTGGCTGACAGACATATCACTCCAGTCTCTACCTCCATTATCACATGAATTCTCCCTGCGTAGGTGTGTCTTGGTCCAAATTTCCCTCTTCTAATGACAGACACCAGGCATTAGATTCAGGTCCACCCTAATCCACCATGACCTCATTCTATTACATTTGCAACAACCTCTTTCCAAATTAGATCACAGGCTGAGGTTCTGGGCAGAACCTGAAGTTTACCGGGATGTTATTTAACCCAGTACATGTGCTAATCACTTCTATGTACTATTCCATATATTTCTCACAGCAGCACTGTGAAGTAAGTACAGGCATCACCCACATTGGATAAGAGAGGACCTAAAACTCATTGAGGCCAAGTAACCTGGCCAGGGGCACATGCAACACACAAGGCCATAGTGACAGTGAGGTCATGGCGTGGTGCCCCCTGAGATACTACTTGTGTCAGATGACATAGCAGATCTGGAATCTGCATCTCTGTAGACCTGTGACTGCTTCTGGTCCGTATACTTATAATCTTCTATCTCTATACAACAAAACAAACAGATGCATGAAATAAATATGCCCAAATAAATTCCCTCGTTAACTATCCCTAATGTTAGGAGATTTCTCTTCTAAATTTAGATTCCTGAAATTTCTTTGAATATCTTTTGCAGGTATATAGTATGAACTTCTTGACAATAAATAATGTTTTGCAACATGAAGTTCTCTAATCAACAGCATTAATTTTTACATAAAAATCTTTTCTTCAAAGTTGAATAATTAGGGAAATGGAAATAAATGCAGTGGATTTAAATTTTGTTGCTATCTTTTGAGGTCACAGACAGTTCTTGTCTTCCTCAGGGCTTATTTAGCTGTCAAGAATATTTTTAATTTCAGATATTTAGTGAGCATTAACAGAGCGTTGTGTAAGACATTGCTCTTAAGTATCTTTAAACATCAACTCATAACATTTTTAAAATAAAAATTAACATTTTATTTTTAAAATAAAATGTTATTTGTGGTTTTAAAAAAAAGTGTATCGTTTAGAAGACATAACTTTCAAAAGCAAAAGTATCCCTTAGTTCTATTTCTATATATATATATAGCATTTTAATGAATTGTAGCATCAAAAGAAGTGAAAAAAAGCCTTTTAAGTTTAAATTATTGCTCCACTTAATTTTCTATACTATAGTATATAAATTACTCTTATCAGATAGCCTATTTTTCATATGTTGGCTAACCAATGGACAACGTATTGCCAAAGATAATCCAACGACCTTCACAGCTCTAGGAAATCTTATGTAGAATTGGTTGTACATTTACTGAAAACTTTTTTGGAATCATTGTCATCAGCTGTCTCAGTAAAGATTATCTCAAAAGCTTGACTGATAATAATTGCCACTGAGAAATAAAATTTCATTCTTTAACTGAAAACTTTATTAATTACCCTGAAACTATGTAAGTATGTAAGTGACCTGTCAATGAGCAAAGTATAAGACATATTACATCCTTCCTTTACTGAATAATCTTCTTTTGATGCCAAGTTATAGAGATAAGATGCATTTTTTAGATTTATATTGTGACATATGATTTAACACATGCTTAAATTGAAAGCACTATCAAAACCTAATACTTGGGCTTTAAAAAGTAATAAAATCATCTCTTTTTTTTTTGTTTTTTGTTTTTGAGATGGAGTCTCACTCTGTCATCCAGGCTGGAGTGCAGTGGTGCGATCTCGGCTCACTGCAAGCTCCGCCTCCCGGGTTCATGCCATTCTCCTGCCTCAGCCTCCTGAGTAGCTGGGACTATAGGCGCCCGCCACCACGCCCAGCTAATTTTTTGTATTTTTAGTAGAGACGGGGTTTCACTGTGTTAGCCAGGATGGCCTCGATCTCCTGACCTCGTGATCCGCCCACCTCGGCCTCCCAAAGTGCTGGGATTACAGGCGTGAGCCACCACGCCCAGCCAAAATCATCATTTCTTAAGCCTGGAGGATCCTTAAAGGCCATCTAGGTGATATTTGTCACTTTTTCAAGGAGGAAGCTGAAAGCTAAAGGTATTACCATTTACCTGTAGTTACACAGCCAGTTCAAGCAAAGCTTGGCCTAAAACTTCTCCTGAATTTCTGCTTTAGTCTTATGTACTATGAACCCCAAAAATCTGAGACAGTTAATTTAGCAAGTTTATTTAGTAAGTTCATTTTTCCAAGGTTCAGGACATGCGCCTGTGACAGCCTCAGGAGGTCCAGATGACATGTGCCCAAGGTGTTCAGAGCAGTTTGTTTTTATACATTCTAGGGAGACATGAGACATCACTCAACCTATGCAAGATGAACACTGGTTCTATCTGGAAAGGCGGGACAACTCGAAGCAAAGGCAGGAAGATGGGAAGCCGGGAGGGGGTTTCCAGGTCATAGGTAGATAAGAGACAAATGGTTGCATTCTTCTGAGTTTCTGATTAGCCTCTTGGAAGGAGACAATCAGATATGCATTTATCTCAGTGAGCAGAGGCATGACTTTGAATAGAATGGGAGGCAGGTTGGCCCTAAACCATTCCCATCTTGACTTTTCCCTTTAGCTTAGTGATTTGGGGCCCCAAGATTTATTTTCCTTTCACTGTACATATTTGTTTATTCATTTTTGTATTTACTTGTAAGTCATATCCTGCAAACTTCCAGTAGAATATTGAAGGTAACATCATAGAAGATTTGTATGTAAAAATCCCATGAAAATAGAAAGAGAAACAACACACATGCGTAGACTAAGCTTTGGACAAATTATCTAGACCTGCTGCCCAATACAGGAGCCACTAGCTACCTACCAGTGGCTCTTGAGTCCTTGAAATATTGCTCGTGAGATGTGTTATAACTACAAAATACACACCAGATATCTAAGACTTCACTTTTTTAAAAAAGAATGTAAAATAGCTACAACATATCTGTTGATTTTAATTACATGTTGAAATGATATTTTGGATATATTAAGTTAAATAAAATATATTATTAAAATTAATTTCACTCACTTATTTTTACTTTTTAAAGTGACTACTAATAGTTTGAAATTACATATGTGAAGGGAATCACATATGTGGTTCTCATTCTGTTTCTACCAGACAGCGCCAGCCATTTAATGTCATCTCTGTCCTTGAACACTGAATTCAGCTCTTAGCTTCTGAGAAAAGGAGTATGGGTTTGATAATTCTCCTCATCTGATTAAAGGAAACTTGCTGACTCTTCCAAGAGAGACAAGCGTTTTCCTAGTATTAAATTGCCAGAGATTTAATTTCATGGATCTTATACAAGCAGCAGAGGGGATAATGCCTTCAACTTTGTTTTTATAGAAGATGCAGAGACGTT
This sequence comes from Homo sapiens, assembly GCF_000001405.40. NCBI lineage: Eukaryota > Metazoa > Chordata > Mammalia > Primates > Hominidae > Homo > Homo sapiens. The sequence goes on from NC_000020.11 coordinate 8,771,640, forward strand.
GTTCACTTGTTTTTTTCTTGTGTTGTCCTTTAAAACAAAACAAAACCAAAAAATCCCTTAGTACATAGTATCTAAAGATACGTCATGAGGAGCTTTTCTTCAAGTGGCAAAGCCAGTGGGTCTGATTATGTCTACCTGTCTTCCATCTCTCTTGATATGCAATAAAATCCTGAAAACACCTCAGATAAATGAATGGATGGGCATTATGTACATTGAATTTGTTTCCTTCCTTCCTTCGTTCCTTCCTTCCTTCCTTCCTTTCGACAGGGTCTTGCTCTTTTGCTCAGGCTGGAGTGCAGTGGCATGATCACAACTCACTGCAGTCTCGACCTCCTGGGCTCAATCAATCCTCCTGCCACAGACTCCCGGGTAGCTGGAACTAGTCGCATGCCACTAGGCCCGGTTAATTTTTTTTTTTTTTTTTTTTTTAGAGGTGGGGTCTCACTACCCAGGCTGACTTTGAACTTCTGGGTTCAAGTGATCTGCCCACCTCGGCCCCCAAAAGTGCTGGAATTACAGGCGTGAGCCACCAGCACACCAGGCCTGTTCCTAATACTCTGTCTTTCCCTGTTTCCTACAGATGATAATATAGAGTACAAAATTGGAATGAATCACACCAATTTCTTTAATATTCATCATCTCAAGTGAGCTTTCTACATAATGTGAAGAACAGGTTACTCAAAAATAGTTTTGGTCCAGACATGGCATGCAGTCATGCTGTGTTGCTCTTAAGAGCACAGGTGTTGCCCTTCTGCCCCTGTAATTTTTGACCTTGGGCAAGTTGCACTACTGCACCTCCATGCTGTGTCCTTGGCCAATTATCTCACAGAGCCGTGGTTTCCTCAAATGTAAGCTGGTGATGGGTATACCGACTTACTCGGATACGAGTGTGCCCGGCATATGGGGGGATGGTTGGCAATGAGAGCTACCTCTGCTAGAGTGGTTGGAACTGATTGAAGAAATGCCTTTATGCCCTGGTTACAATGATTTCCTGCTATATAAGATCATTCAGGCCGGGCGCGGTGGCTCATGCCTGTAATCCCAGCACTTTGGGAGGCCGAGGTGGGCGGATCACCTGAGGTTGGGAGTTTGAGACCAGCCTGACCAACATGGAGAAACCCTGTCTCTACTAAAAATAAAAAAATTAGCCGGGCATGGTGGTGCATGCCTGTAATCCCAGCTACGGAGGCTGAGGTAGGAGAATCACTTGAACCTGGAAGGCGGAAGTTGTGGTGAGCTAAGATCGTGCCATTGCACTCTAGCCTGGGCTACAAGAGCAAAACTCCATCTCAAAAAAAGAAAGAAAAGAAAAGAAAAAAGATAATTCAATGTTAACTATGTCATGCCAAGAGGAAAGTTTCCCTCAACACTGCAGTGAGGAGCCTTATAGAATGTCCGTCCTCATTTGGCATTGCACATAAAAATGCAAAAAGAAACTTGAGAAAATTCCGCATCCCTTATTTGACAAAATCTGATTCTAACACCAGCTTCAACCAACTCCCTTCCCCATGTGATGCCACTGATGCTGGCCCAATTCAAAGAAAAAGCAACCAGAATTACTGACAGCTGATTCTAAGAAACTTTACCTGGCCTATCGGACCACAAGTGAAAAATATGGAGGCAGAGTCTGATGTGTTGAATGTCTTAGGTAGTCTTTCGGGAAGGGATTCCATATAAATGAAAAGAGCATACCTACTCTTTGTACCCTGTTCCCAATACTCTGTCTTTCTTTCCACTGTTTCCTACAGGTGATAATACAGAGTACAAAATTGGAAGGACTCACACCATAAGTTAATGATAATTACTTTAATTTATTTTGACATTCACCCTAACCTTCTAAATATTTGTATAATTCTCTAAGAACAATGCAGAGAAAGTCATACTGCTAAGAGGAAGCATTCGAAATATTTTAGAATGAACTAACGCATCTCTTTCCCCTTGTAAGCTTTGTGTGGAAAGTGCCATTTGGGTAAAGATATCAGTGAAGTTGGTGAAGCCTCCAAAGGGCCTTATTTTCATTGTGTGTCTTTGCTGTTAAAAATCTTGTTAAGAGGCCGGGCACGGTGGCTCACGTCTGTAATCCCAGCACTCTGGGAGGCTGAGATGGGCAGATCACTTGAGGTCAAGAGTTTGAGACCATGCTAGCCAACATGGTGAAACCTCATCTCTAATAAAAATACAAAAATTAGCCAGGTATGGTGGCACATGCTTGTAGTTCCAGCTACTCAGGAGGCTGAGGCAGGAGAATCACTCAAACGTGGGAGGTGGAGGTTGCAGTGAGCTGAGATCATGCCACTGCACTCCAGCTTGGGCAACAGAGCAAGACTCTGTCTCAACAACAACAATAAAATTGTTAAGAAACAGAACTCAGATGTCAGCCAGGAGGGTTATCTGCACACGGCATCTACACGTGCTCTCTGTTTATAATCATCACCCCTGATGCTAAACAAGGCACATCTTTAGCTTCCTCTAACAAAGTCTGCTCAATGCAGTGTCCTCTGAAGTTTTCATACGGGAAAGGTAACTGGGAATGCCATTACACTTGTCACATTTTAAAATAACAAAAAAGATTAAAACCTGAAAATTTTTTATTAGACACTGTTTTTCCCAAACGGAGATTATTATTCTCACCACTGCCATGCCTAGGGCCCCCAGCCTCTTTGCTTTTCTTTCTGCCCCTGCCTCTTTCTAGAGCACCATGAATTCCATTCAGTCTCTGGGATTGGAGACACTCTATTGCTAAGCTTGTCCTTGGGGTCTCACCCTCTACCCCAAGTGGCTTATGAAAATATGTATTTCCAAACAGAGAACTTTCTCTAGGAGGAATTCTGGTGAATAACCTTCCCTCCACCTTGTTATGGCCTGTCTGTTTTGTGAGTCAAACTCTGTGTCTTTGCAGATCGGAACCCAGCAGCCCTGATCATGGTTCATCAACGATTGAGCAAGACCTCGCTGCTCTGGATGCTGAAATGACCCAAAAGTTAATAGACTTGAAGGACAAACAACAGCAGCAGCTGCTTAATCTTCGGCAAGAACAGTATTATAGTGAAAAATACCAGAAGCGAGAACATATTAAACTGGTGAGCCTGAGAAACATGATTTATGTTTGTGCAACTGGAACTCCCTTATAGGAAACTTTGGATACTTTTGGATAACTAAAAGGAGACAAGGGTGGGTGTGACTGGCACCAACTTGAGAGATTGTTTAGGTGACACAGTGTCCATCACACTATTGTTTTTATAAGCCCCACTGTCTTAACATCTTTACCAAGCTTCTCTGTCTTCTGCCAATAAGGCTGTATTTTATCATTTTTATTTTCACTAACTTATGTTGAGTTTATAATTGCTTTTGGGAATCTTTGAAATCTCATAAGCAAATAGAAAACACTTATCTTTGTTTAAGAAATTAAGAACATGTTGCAAACAAATTTTCCCTTTTTTTTTTTTTTTTTTTTTTTGGTAGCACTGGGCTTTGTAAGAATTTTTTTAAAATTATACAGTACACTGTCCTATATTTAGAAAAGTCAGTACCTAAATGGCCAACACGGAATGTTGGCTACCCAATTCATAAGGCTCCCTATGAAAGGAAATGCCATCCTCACCATTAATAATCAGTTTTATTTTCCAAAATGTTTTCTCACGAATTGAGACATTCTCTCCATTTTTGTTGATTCCTTGATACATAGTAGGGACACAATAAATATTTGTGACAGATAGATTAGATAAATTTAGCAACAAAATATCCTTGAAAACAAGCTTATGCCAAAACCAAAGAAATAAGTAAGCTTGATAGAAATTAAGGTAGTGTATCCAGAAGAAATGGGTTTTAAGAGATATTTGTATAAGCTGTCTATTTCTTTGCTGAGGGTCTGTGCATATAAGAGAATTCTGAGCAGCTTCAGCTTGTAAGGTTGGAAGCCTATAGATGATTTAGCCATCACTGTATAATAGGTGATTCAGTGTAATTCTGTTGTTCTAGGATAACAGTCCCCAGTGACTGTATGCAATGAGTAGATCAAAATCACATGAATTGCTTATTGAAAATCAAATTCTAACGAGGCCCGTTATTCTCAACTTGAGCATGAATCAGAATCACCTGGAGAGCTTGTTAGAAGAGATTTTTAGGGTCTACCTTAAATTTTCAACAGATCTCTCGTAGGGCTGGTGTTTTCATATTTCTGATCCCAGGACCAGACTTCAAGAACTGCTGCCCAATACCTAAATGTGAGGCTCAGGATTTACTTTTTAACAAGCCCCACATGATTTCGAGGGGTTGCCTCATTTGTGAACTGCTGAAATAAGACGAAAGCAGTGAAAGAATGGCTGGGCAGGGGTTGGATCAGGCATAGGGAGGGATTGCCTTGACAGACCTGAGCAAGTCAAAGTAAATTTTAACGGGCAATAATGGCTTTGAGATCCGGCTATAACCACTGCCTTCTGACTTTCTCCAGCAACTCATCCCCAGTAGTCCAGAACATAATAAAAATTAAAATAGTGGCCGCATATTAAGCATTCACCATGGGGCTATATTCTGTGCTGAGTCATTTACAGGAAACAGCCTATTTAATTCTCACAATAACCATTAGAGTTTGGTACTATTGTCAGCCCCATTTTGCAGATAAAAAATGTATATAGCAAAATTTAGTGACTTTCCCAAGGATCCACAACTGGAAGGTGGTACATTTGGGATTTGAACCTTGGTCCTCGGGTTCTAGAGCCCCTGGTTTATAACCATTGTGTAGATGCCTCGGCTAATTCAGGTTTCAAGCCAATGTCATCATAATGAAGGGAGTTGCTCTGGTGTCCTGCTCACACAGAGAGCACACAGCAAACTTCTTCATTATGATACCTGGAATGCCATGCCTGTCTCTCTTTAAACAGCTTTATTTCCCAATCATACAATTCACTCATTTTAAAGTGTGCAGTTCAATGGTTTTTGTATATTCATAGATACGTACAACCACCACTAGAATCAATTTTAGAGCATTTTCATCGCCTTAAAAAGAAATCCTAATAAATTAGGCATTCAGCCATTCATTCATTCCTTGAAACAAATGCTTATTAGACACCTGCTTGTTAAATATTTTTAAACAGTAGTAAATAAAAATAACAATCCTAGGCTTTATGGAGCTTATATTGTAGAAGGATGAGTCAGACCATAAACAAAATAAGTTGGTAAAACATGTAGTATGTTAGGTAGTAATAAGGGCTTAGGAGAAAAACAATAACAGAAATGGGAGAATAAGGAGGGGCGGTTTGGGGAAGGATGATGAGGATGCTTGGCGATTTTAAATAGAGTAGGCACGGAAAGGTTTACGCAGAAGGCAACATCTGAGTTAAGAGGTGAAGAACTGACAACAGCCAACACAGGGAGGAGGATTCCTCCAGGCAGAAGGATTGGCATGCAAAGACTCTGGGCTGGAAATGGGCCTGAGTGTTGGGGGAACAGCACAGTGGCTCTGCCTGAAGAGGATTATAGGGCATCAGGTCAGAGAGATGGGACTTTTGAGGTGGGAGACAGATCTTCTGGGGTCTTTAGGCCTCTGTGTTTTCACTAGGAGTGAGGTGGGAACTGTTGGAAGCTTTTGAGCAGAGGATTGATGTGATCTGAAGAAACTTCCACAGGGACCACTCCGGGGCTGTGCTTCCCAGTACGTTACGGGAAGTGGTCTCCTAGGAAGAAGCCGTCCCAAAGTTCAGGCCAACAGCAGCCCAAGGGGTTAAGGAATCCTGGGGTCTCCAGCAGATGACTCAAGTTTACTAACAGGGTGAATGTTGCTTAGAAGTCTGGACATCCCAGCTGGGTGCGGTGGCTCACACCTGTGATCCCAGTACTTTGGGATGCCGAGGCAGGTGGATCACCTGAGTTCAGGAGTTCAAGACCAGCCTGGGAAACATAGTGAAACCCTGTCTCTACTAAAAATACAAAAATTAGCCAGGCATGGTGGTGGGTGCCTGTAATCCCAGCTACTCTGGAGGCTGAGGTGTGAGAATCGCTTGAACCCAGGAGGTGGAGGTTGCAGTGAGCCGAGATCATGCCATTACACTTCAGCCTGGGTGACAGAGCAAGACTCCATCTCAAAAAAAAAAAAAAAGAAGTCTGGACACCCCAATATTAGTCCATTTCCATGCTTCTAATAAAGACATACCTAAGACTGGGCAATATGAAGGAGGTTTAACTGGACTTAAACTTCACCGTGACTGGGGAAGCCTCACAGTCATGGCAGAAGACAAGTCATGTCTTACATGGATGGCAGCAGGCACAGAAAGAGTGCTTGTGCAGGGACATTTCTCTTTTTAAAACTGTCAGATCTCCTGAGACTCACTATCATGAGAACAGCATGGGAAAGACTTGCCCCCATGATTCATTACCTCCCACCAGGTCCCGCCCACAACATGTGGGAATTCAAGATGAGATTTGGGTGGCACACAGCCAAACCATATCACCGACTATAATCATCTGGAGTTTCCCCAGGGCCCCAACCCTTGGGCAAGACCATTCCCCAAGGAAAGACACATGGCAATTCAGAAGAGAGGTGGCAGAGTGAGAGGGAAGCCTAATACTCACGGGAGATTCCTGAAAGAGGAATTCAGAGTACAGATGAAAACAGAAGCCAAAACATCCCAAGAAGACCTCTTGGGGAGATTTGAGCTGCAGGAATAGGGGCCGAAGTCACAAGAAAGTCATGCAAAACCTAAACATCCCAGGAACAATGCCTCAGCATGAGGCACCATATGGAATCCCACTGATGAGGGTGTGGAAAGCAGCTCAGGAGCTTTTCTCCTGGAGGAGAAGGTTGGTTGGGAATTGGGGAAAACCAGCTGAGCTTGTAGGTGGGAAAATTGCACTTGAGGAGCTAGGGAGGTGGTAGAAATCCTACTAGAGGTGGCAACTCTACCATATGTCCTTCCACTTCCTTCTCACTAAGAAGGAATGTGAGTACACATTGTAAAAGTTTTGAAGACTGTTCAGAGGGACATAAATACATGCCCAAGTCAGCCTGGCCCTTTCAGGCCAAATGTAAGCCACTCACTCAAAGTGCTCACCCCTGCACCACTGTGATTGTGGATGTGGGTTTCAGATAAAGCCCCAGTGCCTGTTACACACACCTATCCCAGCCTTGTTAGGAAGGCTAAAGCCTGAATATCTTGGAATTAGAACCACACAATGTTTATTTTATGGCCATTTGGGAGCATTTACAATTTTTACTACCTGCCTTTAGCTGCGACGTGTGTGCCAAAGCTTCCTACTGGCTCCATTTGTAAGAATCAGAGATTGTTCTGTCAGGAAATCTTTTGACTGAAAGGCACCCAGAAGTGTTAGTTCTATCTTTGCTGGTGGTTCTAAGTAATGAACAGGCCTCCCAGGCTAAATTAGACAAACCGAAGTGTAATTAAAAAGTAAGCCCCAGGTTAAAAGAAGTATTTGGGTGATGAGGAAAATTAAGCCGACAGTATTTCATCTCCCAAAATTGCTTTGGGGATTAAATACCAACGTGCTTTGGTTAAGGATTATGCATTTCAAATGCCACATCCACAGTTCGAGAGTTAAGAAAGAAAGCATGGCATCCGTAAACTTCCTGTCAGATGTTTACTGAAAACTTAGTATTTGCACAACATTCTGATAGACACTGGAGACGAAAATGAATAAAACACGATCACCACACACACTCAGGGGATGTGTATAATAAACAGTACTAAGAAATGAAATAATAAAAGCAGGAAAAAATGGATATGAAAGCACAGATATAACTATTTGCCTAACTCTATCAATCGATAAGCACCTAGAGGATATTTTTGATGTAATTGTTCATATCATGATACGAGATGTAAAATGCACACCAAGCTCTGTAGACTCCACTTTTGTGCAAAAAAAAAAAAAAAAAAAAAAAAAAAAGGATCTGTGTCCCTAGAGCTCTACATCTAAATAACTCTACAGTCTGGCTACTCAAAGTGTGAAGTGTGGGCCGTGAATCACCTAGGAGTGTGTTAGACATGCAGAGTCTCAGGCCCCACTTCAGACCTGCTAAGTCAAAATTTGCATTTTAATAGGATTCCCAGGTGTCTTGTCATATGGTCAAGTTGAAGAAACAGTTTTAGAGTGTGTATCATTGCCCCAAATGCATTTTAGAGTAAGCCTACAATTTCCGTTATTTGAAATGGGAAATACAGTGAGCTCTTTACAGCTTGTCATCAAGTTGAGTGTATTATCTGTTGGTGACGAAGTCATAGTTCCTGTGGAAATCACCCCTGTGGTTCCCTCCCTACATCCACAGTAGAAGGTACTGGTTGCTTTAGTCGGAAGTGAGTGAAAATAAAGATGGAAGTTCCTCCACCCCATTCACGTGCTTGTGCTCCATGATATCTCTCAATGAACAGCTTGGGGGTCTGTAAACCCCAGGTAAGGACTTTTGCTCCAGAGAAGAACTACAGGGTCAGGGAATCTGTTCTAATTCATTTATCTGTTTTTCATCAACTGCTACTGGTTAAACCTGTGTTTCGTCTATACCATTAGGGTGAGGTTTTAATTTTAAAAGTGACTTTGGTGAGGCGTGGAAATTCTTAGGGATTTACCTGAGGGTCCCCAATCACTCTGGGTACTCAGCTCTACCATCACATTCTACTAAACACCCACAGCCCAGTGAGCAGGGATTTCGTTGTAATGTTAAGGAGTTTTTGCTTCTCAGCCACAGATGTGCTCGACCCACCATTTTGTCTTCTTTCTTCTTCCTCCTTTTTAGCGGCTTTACAAAGAGATTTCCTCATTTCTTTCACAGTTACCGTATGTGTTATCCTCTGCAGAGCCTTGCTTTGCTTCACTTTGCTTTGCTTCCTGTCTTTTCTCCCCTTTCCCATATCTCCCACATGTTCTAATCACATCCATTCACCTCTTTCTTTACATCAAACTGAATGGCTCGCGTTCTTCTTACAATCCTCATGTCTGTCCCACCAGCAATCATTTCAGGACCCCAAACCAACGTTAGTACCATCAAACTGAGTTCAGCCCCAGAAAGCTAAAAAGTTGTGTTTCAGACCGCAAGCTCTGGGCAGATACAGATCAGCTATGAATGGACGAGCCCACCAGGACAAGCAATCAGGTGCTGAGTGGGGGGTCTAGGGTCATATGTCCTCATTTCAGGCCACTGCTCCTCCACCAAGTCACTGCATGACCACCTGAATGTCAATTTTCTCACCTGTTCAATGGAGATAAAAATATCTCTTACCTCATGAAACTGTAAGGAGGAACAACAAGATAATGCACCTAAAATATTGTTTTTAATGAAAGCCTTTTTCTGTACAATACCTGAATTGACTAGGAAATCTATATGCACTTCAAATATAAACAAGTATTACAGTTTTTTATATCTTGCTACAGCTTGAGGGAACTCATTGTCTCTCCTTGAATGATTTCTACCAGCACTATGTGCTCTCCCAGCTATCTGGGAGCCACACTTGAATGTTCTCCTTTCTGTGGTTGCCTAGGTGATGTATATGTGCCAGGAGTAATTGCAGTCTCAGGAAGTATCCCTACTGTCAGTTGTGGTAGTGCCATCTGTCTTCCTCCAATATTTGGACTTTACATAGGGTCATTTTTTTTTTGAAAAATAATTTAGCTTTCCCAAAAAATGTTGCATTTTTCTACTAAACAAGAAATGACAAATAAGCAAAAGATGTTAGTAGTGAAATAAGAAATAAAATAATTGTTGACATTTTTGTCAATTTTCCTGATTATTACCCCAGTGGGATTCACACACACAAACACACACACACACACACAAACACACACACACACACACACACACACACACAAAGATCCAAATCCATATAGTTTTCAATTTGCTTCTTTTACTTAGCATTATGCCATGGTGATTTTTCATGTCATGCTTTTTAACGCTTTTTCATGGCTTCGTATTACTTTATTGCATGAATGTAGCTTAATTTATTTATCTAGTTCCCTACTCGAGGTGGTGTATTAGTCCGTTTTCACATGGCTGATAAAGACATAGCCAAGACTGGGCAATTTATACCCAAACTGTGAGGTTTAATTGAACTCATAGTTTCACATGGCTGGGGAGGCCTCATAATCATGGCAGAAAGCAAGGAGGAGCAAGTCACGTCTGACGTGGATGGCGGCAGGCAAAGAGAACTTGTGCAGGGAAACTCCCCAATATAATACTATTAGATCTTGTGAGACTTATTCGCTATCACAAGAACAGCACAGGAAAGACCCACCCCCATAATTCAATCATCTCCCACCAGGTCCCTCCCACAACACATGGGAATTATGGGAGCTACACGATGAGATTTGGGTGGGGACACAGAGCCAAACCATGTCAGGTGGCAACTCCACATTGAATAGAAGCCTTGGTCAGACTTTCACATTCATTTTTTCTTTGCTCAGCAAGGAAAAAAAATTTCAAAGATTATTATAACATTGAGACTCAAATAAGCAGCTATTTTAATATAAGTTCTATTTAGCTATGGAAATTTTAAAAATAAGAATTTTATAGGTGTGAAAGAATATCTCATAGAATGATCAAGATGCTTGACTTTTTTGTCCAAGACTTTCTCCTTCTGAAAAGAGAAGGGAGCTAGTAGAGATTATAGCTCTGGGTAGACAGGGCCCTCTCTGTCTGCTCACAGAGGAAGGTTGGACCATCAATACTAGCATAGTACTGGCACATAGTAGGTAAATATTCTTTGAATGAATGGTCAGGTCACACTCCCATATAAACATCTTCCTTGTTTTTGCTTTTGTTTTTGTTTTTTTAGAGACCAAGTCTAGCTTTGTTGCCCAGGCTGGAGGGCAGTGGTACAAACTTGGTGCACTGCAGCCTCCATCTCCTGGGCTTTAGTGGTCCTCCTACCTCAGCCTCCCAAGTAGCTGGGACTACAGGCACGCACCACCATGCCCAGCTAATTTTCTCTATTTTTTAAGAGACAGGTCTCACTATGTTGCCCAGGTTGGTCTCAAACTCCTGGCTTTGAGTGATCCTCCTGCCTCTACCTTGTTTTCAAATTGTTGGTGATGTGCTTGCTGTGTAGATCATTACTTAGTTCAGATGTTTTGTAAATTAATTTCTTGTAGAAGAAAAACAATGTATAGTGAAAATCCAGAGTAAATGCTTTGACTAAAAGGAAAGAAAGAGGCATCTTCTTTAGACATTAGTGGAAGGGAAAGGAAGATGTGTTGAGCCCGAAATATGAATATTCTAGACTTGGCTTTTTGCCTATGTTCCAAGATTATCCTTCTTAGAAGAGACTCCAAACATACAAATTTCTGTCCACATATTTTTTATCCCTTTTGAGTTAGAGTCAAGGAATTATTCTCCTCCATGGAAACCATTTTCTTGCCCTCAGATGACTAAACCAAGTGAAATTTAGCAGAGTTGAGAACAAGCGTGAAGTTTTATTCCCCAGGGCCTTTCTGTTAACTCCTTAAAAGGTTTGGAACATTGAGCTGGGAGAGTTATCATGAATGGCAAACAAACCAGCAAAAAGTAATTGAGATGTGTCTGTTCCTTTGGGACAGAAAAGAAAATCATACCAAAAGTGAAAATTAAATGTTGTTTACTACCATTCAGTTTACCACATACCTTCTTAATTTATTTCCTAGGAAGTCCAAGTGAATTTTTGCTTCTTCTCTACCTTTAATAGTCAGTTTACTTTCAGAGTTTTGTGACTAATAAATGATCGAATGGCTCTTTGAACAGAGCCAGCCTGCTGATAAATACACCAAAAGTTAGTATACCTTGCCTTTATGTTAGTCACAAAGCACTTCAATTATTATATGAAAAATCACTCTTCTGGGTACTATTTTCACATCTTATGCAGTAAGAACTTTGAGCCCAAAACACAGAAGTTTATCTTGTTTAGAGATTAAGCAGAGTTGTTTTATTTCTGTTTTTGTTTGTTTTTATTTTATCCTTATTCTTTTGATTGCAAGCCACAGAATTCCATGCTGGACTAACTTAGGCCAGAAGGGTATATACTAGAAAAGTACAAAGGGTATATCACATAAGAAAGGGGGCTGTCCAAACTCTGCCCCTGCTTTTCTCTGCATATTAGTGTTATTCTTTTCCAAAGTAGCAAGACAGGCTTCCCCTTGATAGAAAATACAGGCACTGATCCCTTCTGAGTTTTATTTCTCCATTGACATGTAGGAAAAATCTTGGGGAAAACCTTGTTTGGGTCCCATGATGACCAAGTCTGCAACCAGAAGTCAGAGTATGACTGACCCAACTTGGATTAATGCCTCCCCTGGACCAATTATCTTGGCCAAGAGATGGGGGGTAAAATATACAGCAGCTCCCAAGGGAAGCATGTGGGTGAGGCCATTCTCAGAAAGCAGAGGAAGTTCTTCCTGGAGAAGTAGTTAGTATTGGGTAGAGAAAACTACAGGTGTACCTCACATCCTCTCTTTGTAGCATAAAAAAGAGATAAATTATTGATGCCCATATAAAATCCCATTGCCAATTTAATGTGAGTTGGGCGGTAGTGGCATACTATTTAATATTAACAAAATCATAATATTAATTATTCTGTCTCCTGGAGGTTCAGTAGACAAAATTTAAATAAAAATAGTAAATGCCGTGTGGGCAGAACTTCAGTAGGAGTGAGGGTCTTCTGAAAACTAGCTGAGGTCGGGCTCGGTGGCTCACACCTGTAATCCCAGCACTTTGGGAGACTGAGAAGGGCAGATCACGTGAGGTCAGGAGTTCAAGAGCAGCCTGGGCAACATGGTGAAACCCTGTCTCTACTAAAATTACAGAAATTAGCTGGGTATGGTGGCACACGCCTGGAATCCCAGCTATTCGGGAGGCTGAGGCACTACAATCCCTTGAATCCAGGAAGTGGAGGTTGCAGTGAGCCGAGATTGCACCACTGCACTGCAGCCTGGGCAATAGAGCGACACTGTATCTCAAAAAAAAAAAAAAGGCTGAGATGAGCAGAGGTGGGGCTGTGTAGTAAGGCACTGTGGGGGAGATGAAGGCAAACTGAGTACAGTAGGACATTTACATATTTTACATATTAAACAGATATCCTCTGAAAACATATACTCCTTGGGATTCTAGGGAAACACCATTTTCATTTAATTGCATGCAAAAGCCTCAGTTTAAAAAATACACCTGGATTTCACATTAAGATGCTTTTTCCGGAAGGAACAAAATTTAGCTTGTTAAACACCAAACCTATATAATTTTAAAAGTATTTCCAATAAGGCAGCCTGTGGCTTGAATGTGAGCTTTCAGAGCTATCGCTGAGGTCGGGTCCAGTGTAGTTTTGAAACTTAAAAGATTTCATTCACAATCATTTTTTTCAGTGCCTATTTTGTCTAGAGCCTGGGATTCTAAACATTTATTAAGAATGGAAGGTTGAAATGGTGACATCCCTTTGTGGGAGCAATAATAAGATATTTACATACAAAAGGTATGTCTGTAAATGATACCCTGTAGGAAAAACCAATTAGGGGGCCAACACCCAGAGTTATCTGGGCAGTCAAAGGGGAGAATTACCTAAGGCTGGCTTAGAAAGGGAAGGGGCAGAGAGAAATTGAAATGGTTTCTTCCAGATTGTCTCCATCTTCCACAACCACCAAGACAATGCTTTTCAAACTCTAATGTGCACTCAAATCTCCTGGGAATTTTGTTGAACATGTAGATTCTGACTTAGTTGATCTGGAGTAGGGCCCGAGAACTTACATTTCTAATGTGCTCCCTGGTGATGCTCTTGCCACTGGTATGTGGACTACACTTTGAGTAGCAAGATCTAGAAAGCCAGGTCATCAGCTCAGAGTTTCTAGAACAGTGCCTGCTATTTAGTAGGTGCTTAATAAATATCCATTGCATCGTGGCTGAATCAGATAGTTTAGATAAGTGTGTGTTCTGGGACCACAGGAGGTGGAAACTTGTTCTGCAAGGGGTAAAGGGCAAATGCAGGGGGTGTGATGGGAGCCAAGAGGGAGGCAAAAGGACGTGGCAGACAGGGAACTTCTGGGGAGTCTGGAGGGAGTGTGGCACTGACAGTGGTGTGGAGCCTGACACCAAACCAACATAAAAGTCAGAACTGAGTGGGCAGAAGGTCTGTGAGTTCTCCAGCTTAGTCTCAATATTGACTGGAGGCCGATGCTGCTGAGGATAAAGGCAGTAGGCGGAAGGGAAACAGCACATGTGAGCAGATGCTGGCATAATCAAGAAAATATTCTGAAGTCAGGTGAATGATAGAGATGAGGACATGGAAACAGGAATATAATTGTTACTGAATTCAAAAGAGTTGCTGGGAGACTTAGCAGTGGCTTGTAGAATGAGGGAGGGTCCACCAAGACAACCTCCCACTTCAAGTCTGGCACAAAGCATCCAAATCACCTCAGGAGATTTTGAGAATATTGATTCCCAGGCCCTACCCCTAGACATTTGGAGTCCATAGGTCCTGGAATCTGTATTTTTAAGAAGTTCCCCCACATGATTCTGATGTTGCAGCCAAGGAAGGTGATCCCTGGATAACTCTCTGTAACTCCTTCAAGTGGTTGGAAGAGGAGAAAAGCCCTCTAGGGAAGGGAAGGTGCTAGTGAGAGGACACTTTCAGCTAAATAGAGACGTTGCAGGAGACCCCAAGGAAATGGCCAGAGTCTTTGCACACTGGAATTTTACATCTAGACAGCTTGATAAATGGCATGACTACAAAGTAATGCCTCATGATTTCTTTAATTGTGATAATCATGATTAGGCAATCCCTTTTGAATGATCAAATAGGCTTTCTGCTGGCCCAAGTCCTAGTTAATATTTGTTCAGATTTAATCCACTTCACAGATGAATGCATCAAATTTCATGATAATTTTAAACGAATGTGGATTCCGTATCGTAATTCTCTTGCAAGCCATGGAACCTTATTTGTCTGGGTTTGTACCCATCTCAGCCACTTACCAGCTTTGGGGCCCTGAGCCCAGGACTTGAGCCAGATGTGTCAGCGTGTTCTTATGTAAAACAAAAATAATAACACCAACCGCATAGGGCAATTCTCAGAATTAAATAAATACATGTGAATCTTTTTTGTTTTTTTTTTTTTTGAGACAGAGTTTTGCTCTTGTTGCCTAGAGTGTGCCCAGAGTTGCTGGAGTGCAGTGGTGCAATCTCGGCTCACTGCAACCTCCACCTCCCGGATTCAAGTGATTCTCCTGCCTCAGCCTCCCAAGTAGCTGGGATTACAGGCACCCACCACCAGGCCTGGCTAACTTTCTGTATTTTTAGTAGAGACAGGGTTTTACCGTGTTGGCCAGGCTAGTCTCAAACTCCTGACCTCAAGCGATCCACCTGCCTCGGCCTCCCAAAGTGCTGGAATTAAAGTGTGAGCCACTGTGCCCAGCCACATGTGAATCTTTTAAAACTAGGCCTGACATATAGAAATTATCAGTTAAAGTGTTGTAGGACCCTATCCTTAGTTCAGCTAAAGACGGGTTCCTTGTCACATGGCCACAAAAAGTTAGGCTTGAAGGCAATTTGAAGAGTGAGGAGGACAGGGTTTTATTGTGTTGAAAGGAAAAGAGGGAAACAGGTTATCTCCACAAGGCTGGAGTCCCTGCTAGTGTGCTTCCCACCTTGCAGATTGAATTCCAAGTTCCACCCAGGAAGAGGAGTGGCCAGGCTCCTCCCTGCTGCAAATGGGGTGGATTTCTGTGGCTCCACCTCAGTGTGCATTCCTCCCAGTGAGCAGGCCCGTTGCAGTTTTTCCGGGGACTCCCTTATACTTGGCTGTCTCAAAAGTTTGTGGTATTATGATTTGTCTTGTCACTATTACAGCTGCCACTTATAGAAGACTAGTCAACTCAGCTTGCCTTATATGTTTTTGGGAAAGAGAATCTCCATCTATGGGAAAAGCAGTGGGGGCTTTCAGAGGATGTCCACACTGTCTATTGGGTGCTCCAGTAAGAAGGGTTGAGTCCAGTTGCTACAGCCACCTGAAAACCTTGCAGAAGGTTCTCCAGGTTCCTCATGAGGAAAAAAGGAAAAGATTACCAGGCACAATTACCTTTATGTAATTGGCAAACACTTACTGGGCATCAAGTGAATATTAGGAATTGTGCAGAATACCAAGGATACAAAAACACAATTGATGCCCCCTTGGGGCTTGATTTGATAATAGATGTATGACAATAAATACTTGCGTTCACAGTGATGTAGTGACAGTTCATTGAAAGCACAAAGAGAATTTCTGATGTTCTTTATATCTACTGGAAATTACCCACGCAAGAACATAAATGTCAACTTCTAAGATGGGAAACTCATGTTATCCTCAAAGCAATTCAACAATGAATGATAGTTGTGAGCCAAGAATTATAACTTGCTGTTGATTATAACTTACATTTGTGTCATACTTATTTTTATTTTGAGCTTCACAGCACCTCCAAAGACATAAAGACAGTGATCAACTGAGAAAATGTAGGTTCTGAAAATGTAGGGTCTTGCCCCAAATTTCACTTTTAATAAGTCTTAGGGTAGAGATTGGAACCAGGTTCTACACTGTAAGTTGTCTTTGCACTGAGCTGGGCTATAATAACTGCCACAACAATCTAATGAATTCTGTTTAATTAAAAAGAGATAATAAGAAGAATTTCATATTAAAACCCATAAGCCTAGATAATATGATGGTTCTAAATTGTCCTCATTGCCAATGTTAGATGTCTGACAACTTTAACTATTGTGAAACATCCATCACAGATATTCTAACTATAGATTCTGTTGTTTGAGGGAGGTGGGAAGGAAGCTCTGTTTGCAATCATTTGAAATAGCAAACTGACATTTTCTTTTTCCAGCTTATTCAAAAGTTGACGGATGTCGCAGAAGAGTGTCAGAACAATCAGTTAAAGAAGCTCAAAGAAATCTGTGAGAAGTAAGCCCTCATTCCCATTACAATTGACATGTGCATCTGAATTTATTCAACACAAATTCCCATCTGATTTGCCTCTTTTTTCTCTTTTACTTCCATTGTGACTTCAGAGAAAAGAAAGAATTAAAGAAGAAAATGGATAAAAAGAGGCAGGAGAAGATAACAGAAGCTAAATCCAAAGACAAAAGTCAGATGGAAGAGTAAGTCAAAAGTGTCCCCTCTCCCAAACAGTTCATCTGGGAATTATTTTATTTTGTACGTCAGAGTCACAGGTTCATAACCAGTCAAAGACTCCTTCGTGAAGTTTCTCCTCTAGTCAGCCTTTCAAAAGATTCTTTTGGTAAGGTTTTTAACAGGGAAGGCTCAAGCAAAGACTGGTTCAATAAAGGAGTGAGGCACACCCAGGGCCTTTTAGATAAAGAGTAAGCAAAGAGCTTCCCTCAGGGAAAGGCTAAATCCTCACTTCCTACCCATAATCTTCCTGGCATTTAGTGAAAACAGAGCCTGTGCCTTGGGAGGAACCTGACCTTTGTCCAAAGGCTGGCAGATTATACCTTCCTTGTAGCAGTAATAAGAATGTTGCTATGGCTCACACTTGTAATCTCAGCACTTTGAAAGGCCTAGGTGGGAGGATTGCTTGAGGCCAGGAGTTCAATAGGGGCCTGGGCAACACAGGGAGACTCTGTCTCTACAAAAAAATTTTAAGATTAGCTGGGTGTGGTGGTGCACACCTATATTTCCAGCTACTCAGAAGGCTGAGGCTGGAGGATGGCTTCAGCATGGGAGGTCAAGGCTTCAGTGAGCCATGATGGTGCCACTGCACTCTACCATGGGCAACAGAGCGAAACCTTGTCTCCAATAAATAAATAGATAAAAATAAGGAAAAAAGAAAAAGAATGTTGAGAGTTCTGTAACCTTTTATCTAGAAGTCTGAGATTACCATTTGTCAATTCTGGATGAATTGGTATAATGATGTATTCATCATTTGCTTTTAGGGAGAAGACAGAGATGATCCGGTCATATATCCAGGAAGTGGTGCAGTATATCAAGAGGGTATGTGGGCTCATCACGCTCTCTCCTTTGCAAAACATGTGTGAACATTTGGTGAGCTCGCTGTGAGCTTCTGGAAGGAAATGTCATGCCTTGCCATAACTTTTTATCACTAGCACCTAGCAGAGCTGTTTCACAGGGTGGGCACTCCTTAATCAACATTTCTGCAAGTTGAATTGCAAACCACTTTGTAAAAGGATTCATCTAAAAATAGAGTCAAGTCATTTCCAAAGTCAAGAGCCCAGAAACATATTGTAAATGATAGTGTTCCCAAAAGAACCTTTAATTGTCATCAATGATAGAGATGATGGCAACCTCGAAGGGCTGTCCTTTTTTTTTCCAATTTAATGTCATAGAAATGTTTACATATTTATAAAAAGGTAAGAACAGTGCAGTCCATTGATCACCACCTCCCACCCTTATGTTTCTGTCACCTAGCTTCAACACTTACTACAGTTTCCTATACTTGTAAGTGTAGTTCTTGATCAGGAGATCAAATAATCAAATGTAAGCCATAGATCTGAAAAGCTTTCGGTATTTTCTGAAAACGTGCACTTTTAAATGTTTAGATGAAAGTAATGTTTCTTGTAACTTTCTTATAGCTAGAAGAAGCGCAAAGTAAACGGCAAGAAAAACTCGTAGAGAAACACAAGGAAATACGTCAGCAGATCCTGGATGAAAAGCCCAAGGTAAACGGAACTGAATTAAAATGAACAATTATTTTATTTGATTTCCATTTAGTAAGAGTAAAACCTTCCTGGTTTACATAAGTACCTTGTACACAGTCTCAGATCAGTTCTTGCATATGAAACTCATGTATCTTTCTCAATGAAGGAAAAAATATAGCAATATTCAGTAAGCATTTATCATCACCTGGTGAGCTTTTAAAAACTGCAAATATGCAGAACCCAGCCCCAGAGATTTGGCTTTAACTAATCTGGGGTATGGCTCAGACAAAGGTATTTTTATAGTCCGTTTCCCCTGGAGAATCAGAGACTAACCAAACCTTCAGTTTGGGTACTACTAAGTAAACGTCAGTTCTAAATAGCTGATGTAATGTTGTAATGCCACCCTCTGTCCAGCAGAGGATGCCCTGCACCAAAATCACTTTGGTTTTTATCTAGCAAAATAGTCTCATAAATCAGAGAAAAGCAAATCTTTTGTTTCCCATAGTAACAGTTGATTGGGGCTCTGCTTTAAAATTATCTTATGTTCATTGTTTGGTTAAAATTAATTGTCTTATGAATATTAACTTTGAATGAACTGAGTATCTGTAGATCAAATACTTTGAGGTTACCAAATGGCATCTCAGTTTTAGAACATTCCTTCCATTTTGATTCATCACTGAATAGTTTTCTGTTTGTGGAAATTGTGTTTTTCAATTTTCCTGCGCTTCTATTTTCAATTTAAAATATCTACTCTAAAAAGTACTGCCATTCCACACAAGCATTTCTCGAGTCCTAAAAGTTAAAAAACGTTAGTTTTATTTAATTGTATGTTTCATTCACCAGTTTACTTCTTATAGATTTCTTATGGATAATTCTAAATATATTTTCATGGTTCTTTGTGCTCTTATGCTTTCATATTTATTATATAAGACATTTATTTAATATTTTTAATTTCTAAGTTTTTAGGGTTGGCAATATAGATTCTCAAGCAAGAATTAATAATTACTTAGATATGGTGCTAATTCTTACGTTTCTCCTATAAACATATAATGTAGATCTTCTCAGCCACCCTCTCAGGTTGATTATGCACTAATAAAGTGGAATAAATTTTAACATAATTTCAGAAATTGCTATACTTTCCAATCAGAATTGATCTTTTTAAAATGCTCAAATTATTTAGAGCAAAAGATCCAGTTTGACTGAAATTTAAGAAACACTTTAATAATAATCAGTCTCAGGTGATATATTCAGATACATACATTTCTAATCTATGCTGTCTGGTTTTAAATTTGTCATTACTTTGTACACTGACATAATAGAATTTGCTTATGGTTGATGGCTCAGCTAGTTTTTGTATTTCAAAAAAATTTAGGTAATATGGTTCTTTTCAGAGTTTCATTTTGCTTTTTTTTTTCATGCGTGTTTTGGTTCAACAATGTTAACTATTTTACTTACAGATAAAATGTGAATGTAAAATCATTAATGTGTTTAAATTATATAACTCTCAGTATCAGTAACCCATACAAAGATTTTCTTGTTACTGCTCTAGGTCATCATGATTAAAATCAACCTCAGTAAATGTGGAAGCACCCTTAAACTTCTTCCCTGGATATAACTGGACATGAAAAGAACTAATAACTTTTGGCTGATTTATTAACAGTCAGGGTGCATTCAGCTGCAATTTTACAATAAGCCCAATTAAAACTGGCTTCAACAGTTATAGTATTTAGTAAGCCACGTTACTGGAAATTCAGAGGTACTACAGTTGTAACAGTGATTAATTTAGTGGCTTAACAATTTCATCTCCAGGTATTTTTAGAATTTCCACTGTTGTTGCCTTCTAGATCCAGACCGTGAACTCAGTCATGAGATGGCTGCCCTAGCTCCACACATCATAACCTTACATGAAACCACTCAAAGGACGTGCAGCAAATGTCTTCATTTTGTAACCCTTTCTAGGATTGAGAAAAACCTTCCTACATCCCCTCTAGCTGGTGTTTCCTCATTGGGTACAATGGCCTCATATTCCCATTCTTAAACCAATCATGGGCAGTAGGGTATCACTTTCATGATTGGCTTAGAGTAATTAAGATTCACTCACAAGGCTAGAGAGAGTTCAGTTTTCCTCAGTTCCATGGTCATCAGGTACCTGAACAAAACTGATATTTTATCATCAAAGAAATAGAGGGGAAATAGCAACTGGGTAGACAGGTTACATACAGTGTACGTTACAGCCATGTTTATAACAATTTTTTGTTTCTTCCTTTCTGGCCCCTTGGAAAGAGATCTGAAGTGTTTCTATGAATTTTTAGTAGTTCTATTGTCTGCGTTTTTTATTGTAAATAGGTACCATGATGAATTCCTCTGTGCTTTTCTTCCATGAGGTTGCTCCATGACCATCTTTTTGTGTCTGGATTTGAAGGTTGCCCATGAAGATTGTTGGTTCCATGTCAAACTAAAGCATTTCTTGAGGGTTTTTCTTCATGGCTTAAAAACGTTGTGCCTTAAAGCTGTGATTTTATTAATAAAATAATAAATCATGACTGTTAACATTGTAGGACATGGTGGTTAATAAAGGGAAATGACAATGACAACAGGAGCAGCAATAGACAGTAGAGTAAAAGAACAAAATCAAGTGTGAGACATGTGAAGAAAGACCAAAGCACAGGACAGCAAAGTAGGTATTAATAAATGGGTGGTGAGGAGAGGCCAGGCCAGCATAGCAGTCGCTGATGCTCCTGTAACTGTGGGGCATGGATGGAAAATACAGTAACACTGGCTTTGAAATAATCCCTCTCCACATCTAGTACTGAAACAGGCTTTGAATCTTGACATAGACATGAGGGAAATTAGCAAAAGCAGAAACAAAACAAGGAACAACCCAAGGAAATGAAACTGATCAATAGTATCTCTAAAACAAGTCCACGGAGTCAGTTCCATTCAGTCAGATAAGAAAACAGAGTGATTTCGTGACATCTAGAACTTTATGAATGGTTCCATTACTGGGTTTTGGATGAGGAACGTGAGCTGACATTGCAGCAGGTAATATTAAAGACAATTGTAACCTTCTTATGAAGAAGAAACCATGCCAAACTTTGCCACAGGTTACTGAGGAGAATAGAGTTCCTCCCTCAACTAATTTACAGATGGTATCGGGGAATCTGCCCCGATATTCACGTAGGTTCTTTTCTATTTTTCCTAAGCATCGGCTGGCTTGAGAAATAAAGGGACAGAGTAAAAAAGAGAGAAATTTTAAGGCTGGGTGTCCGGGGGAGACATCACACGTTGGTAGGATCCGTGATGCCCCCACAAGCCGCAAAAACCAGCAAGTTTTTATTAGAGATTTTCAAAAGCGGAGGGAGTGTGCAAATAGGTGTGGGTGACAGACGAGTACTTAACAGGGTAATAGAATATCACAAGGCAAGTGGAGGCAGGGCGAGATCACAGGACCACAGGACCACAGGACCGAGGCAAAATTAAAATTGCTAATGAAGTTTTGGGCACCATTGTCATTGATAACATCTTATCAGTAGACAGCGTTTTGAGATCAACTGGTCTGACCAAAATTTATTAGGTGGGAATTTCCTCTTCCTAATAAGCCTGGGAGCACTATGGGAGACTGGAGTCTATTGCATCTCTGCAGCCTCAACAGTAAGAGACAGCTATGCCCGGGGGGCCAGTTTAGAGACCCACCCGCAGGCGCACATTATCTTTCTCAGGGATGTTCCATGCTGAGAAAAAGAATTCAGCGATATTTCTCCCATTTGCTTTTGAAAGAAGAGAAATATGGCTCTGTTCTGCCCGGCTCACCAGCGGTCAGAGTTTAAGGTTATCTCTCTTGTTTCCTAAACATTGCTGTTGTCTTGGTCTTTTTTCAAGGTGCCCCAGATTTCATATTGTTTAAACACATGTGCTCTACAATTTGTGCAGTTAATGCAATTATCACATGGTCCTGAGGTGACATACATCCTCCTCGGCTGACAGGATTAAGAGAATAAAATAAAGACAGGCATAGGAAATCACAAGGGTATTGATTGGGGAAGTGATAAGTGTTCATGAAATCTTTACAATTTATGTTTAGAGATTGCAGTAAAGACAGGCGTAAGAAATTATAAAAGTATTAATTTGGGGAACTAATAAATGTCCATAAAATCTTCACAATCCACGTTCTTCTGCCATGGCTTCAGCCGGTCCCTCCATATGGGGTCCCTGACTTCCTGCAACAAGATGGGATGAAGTTTTTTAACTAGAAAGTGATCATAGCTAAGTTTTTGCAGACACCAAAAGTATGTATAGGCTACATGACATCATATTTCTTCCTGTTCTTCCATTTCTTTCACCATGTTGTTGTATATAATAATTTACTTTCTCTTCATCCACTTATTCTAACTAATGTAATAGTGTGTTTCATGTTCCTAATCTTGTCTTAACAGGGAGGAAGCTCTTTTTTTACATTACTGTTTGCTCTGGGATATTACTATTTTGAGCTATTCTGAACCTTGATCAACTTAGAAAATCATATCAATATAATTTTCTAAGCCATTGGTAAATAAACAACTCCTTTGAAAGTAACAAACAGATATTTTGTAAATCTTTCAGCAAAAGAAATTTGAAAAGCCAATGGCTCAAAGTTAACAGTTTTTCAGTGGCAAAGAAGTATTTATTCTGGCTCAATTTAGAGCAAACTACACATGAAACCTCATTCAAAGTGTGACTTTGCTAGCAGTTTACTCAACAATGGGCATGTCATCTAGAGTTCCCAACATTTTTACCATCCTGCAATAGCAGTCATAGGAGAATATGCCTCAATCAAAATCAGGCTAAAAATTTGTTTCAATTCTGCATGTGAGCTGGGACCTTAAGTCTTTCTGGTCGCTATTTGGTAGGGGACCAAATGTGGCCAGTCACACTGGAAAAGTTTATTTTAGATTGTCCCACTTTGTGACATGCACTAGGATCTTTTCATGTGGAGAGTTCATTTTTTCCCTATGAAAAAAGAGATTCAATTAGTTTATTCATTTTGTAGGTAATTTTGAGGGCATTGGGGAAAACAGAAGTAGGTGGTCCCTCGAAGCAACTTGTACAATAAAATATTTTGGCCTCAATTTGACACAAAATGATGTTGTACATTGCTGCACATAAGTCCCATGGAAACTTATTATGTTATAAACAACAAGAGACACTCTTAGAAGGGAATACTTGGCTCCTTTCCAGTAGAGTTCTGAATTCTGGAGAAACATTCGACTGCATGTTTTCTAGCAATGAGATATTCGATTCAGTCCTTGAGTGTATGTGGGTTTCAGTTTTGTTTGAGTTGTGGCTTTTTATGAAATCCATAGTGGTAGAATTTTCAAGATGGACGCAGTAAACACTGGCCAGTCTTCTGACTCAGTGAAATAATTGGTTTCCTGGGGATTTCCATACCTGGGTTTGCCAAAGCCAGTAGGAAACATGGGGAAACCCCATCTCTACCAAAATACAAAAATTAGCCAGGTGTGGTGGTGGGCGCTGGTAGTCCCGGCTACTTGGGAGGCTGAGGCAGGAGAATCACTGGAACCCGGGAGGCGGAGGTTGCAGTGAGCCGAGATCGCGCCACTGCATTCAAGCCTGGGCGACTGAGTGAGACCACCCTGTCTCAAAAAAAAAAAAAAAAAGAAAAGAAAACACGGTTAGTCACAA
Organism: Homo sapiens; assembly: GCF_000001405.40. Taxonomy (NCBI): domain Eukaryota; kingdom Metazoa; phylum Chordata; class Mammalia; order Primates; family Hominidae; genus Homo; species Homo sapiens. Next base: position 8,795,920 of record NC_000020.11, read on the forward strand.
GTTGCCTTGAGTCTGTTGTGAATATGCCAATGTTTATTGATCACTTTGCTGCTCCTGACTCTCTTTATAAGAAGAATCATCTTTTGAGGGGAATATTTAATGAACTATCTCCATAACCTCATAAAACAGTCAATAAATGTGTAATTTACTTTTTCTCTGATGCTTAATTTGTCTTTGATGCTTCTTAGAACACAGGTTTTCTGCTTAATTTAGCTCATCATCAAGAGAGAATTCCGGGAAGCTTTAGGGCATTTTAATTCATTCCCAAAGAACATTTCATCATGTAGCTACTGGCTCTTTTTTTTCCCTCCACCAAGGGAATATAGACTGATTTTCCTTATTTCCCCTCTGACATCTTTGTAACAGGGTGATTGACTCATCCCTCTGCTTGAAGTTAGTCTTGTTAGACCTACCGCTGGGCTCTGAGACAGAACCTTAAATGCGGCTGATATCTCCTGTGTTTGGGAGAGAAAAGGCAAACTTCGGGATTTAAAATAAAATATTTTTTAAAGTAATGCATTTGTGCCTCCTCTAATCTTTTGCGGCTTGATGGGGAAATGGATTCTTCCTTGCCAGCACTTATTGGATCTTCTCCCAGAAGCCAAACTTGCAGAGTGGAAACTGGCTGCTTATAGACAGTGTTTCTGCTCATTGTCAAGTCTCAATTAACCACACAGTGGTTTGTTTTTGTTTGTTCTGTAGAAGAAAATTCTTTTTCATTTTTGTCAATATAAAGAATTGCCTTTTTAGGAAACAAATATAGTTATGCCTTATTTTCTTGAGTATAAAACTTAGACATGTTTACTCTCCTTCTGGGCAATACCAGGGCATTGGAACAATTTTAATTCCACTGGTCCCTCATCAGTTTATTTTTGAAATTTAATCTAATAGACTTTTAAACACATAAGACATTATTCTATGTTTTGATCATGGTTCATTTAGATATGTCTACATATTCACATATTCTTTGTGAAACGTTTTTTCTTGTATCTTCTGCCCATTTGGGATCATCATCTTGTACTTCCTCTAGAAGTTCCTTTCATGCGGTCTACTGGTGGGAAACTCTTTGGAGTTTTTATTTTTGTTTTTGTGCAGAAATGTCTTTGTTTGTTTAATGTAGTAATAGATGAGAATCTACATTTCCTCCATTCTGGAATGATATTTTCACTGGATATAAAATTTTGTGTTGGTGGTTATTTTCCTTTAGCACACTGAAGATAAACTTCCACCACCCTCTAGCATCTATTGCTGTTCTTGAGAGGTTAACTGTTAGTCTTAATACAGTTCTTTTGATGATAATTTATATTCCCCCTCCCCCCACCGACAGCATTTAGTATTTTTTTCTTACATTTTGTGCAGTTTTTCTATAGTGTGTCTAAATATGTGTTTGAGATGGCTAGATGGATCACTTTCCTCAGTTCTGCAAAAACTCTAAACTATCATGAAAGCAAATATGGCTTCTGTCATTTTTTTTCTTTCCTTCTAAGATTCCATATATATTTGCATATAAAATAAAATGAACCTTTTTACTCCATCTCCTCTGTCAATGAATTGTTTTTAGTATTTTCCATCCTTCGTCTTTCTTTACTGCTCTGTGGGCAATTTTTTTTCCTACACTTTTTGCAATGCACCAATTTTTTGTTTAAACTTCTATTCTATGCATCCACTGAGTGTTTAATTTCAGGTTTTGTATTTTATTTCCAGATGTTCTATTTGGTTTATTTTCAAATATATAATCTGTATGTCTTAGCTTGTTGCAGGGAAGCTTTCCTGTGAGATTTCTCACTCTGGGAAAGCCTCAGCTCTTGACTGTAGGCTCCTCACCTTTCAAGGCTATCAAAGGGTGAACACACAATTTCCATCATGAGCAAAAGCCTATCAGGGCAAAAGCAGCTTCCTTGCTTATTACCTTTCTAGGTTCAATGTCCCCTTCAGTTTGACCCTGATCATTAAGTTGTTGTAGTTCTCTGGGTCTTTAAAGATAGTTTTAATGGCCAGGCATGGTGGCTTATGTCTGTAATCCCAACACTTTGGGAGGCCAAGACAGCAGGATCACTTGAGGTCAGGAGTTTGAGACCAGCCTCGCCAACATGGTGAAACACTGACTCTATTAAAAACAATACAAACATTAGTCAGGCATGCTGGTGTGCACCTGTAATCCCAGCTACCCTGGAGGCTAAGGTGGGAGAATTGCTTGGACCTGGGAGGTGGAGGCTGCAGTGAGCCGAGATCATGCCACTGCACTCCAGACTGTGTGACAGCGCAAGACTCTATATCGAAAAAAAAAAAAAGCTTTAGTATCAAACCCAGCTTCTTAATTTTTTTCAGTGGAAAGGATGGTCCAAATAACCTAATCAGCCATTACCAGAAATAGAAAGTCCCCACATTGCATTTCTGAAATATTTGAATTAGTTAACATCTGTATCAGTCAGGGTTCAACTAGAAAAACAGAGCCAGTAAAAGATTGTGTGTGTGTGTGACAGTAATTGGCTTATGCAATTTTGGTGGATGGCTATCTGCCCCGTTCTCAATGCTGTCTCTCTAATGATGGACCCTAGCAGGCAGGCAGGAAAGGAAAATTACAAGTAGGCTTGGTGACTAGAGTAACCAGCAGAAGCTGAGCCTCTTTGTCACAGAGTTGAACATACACACATACACACACACACACACACACACCCCTGGCCCAGGAGTCAGACAATTAAAGGAAGACCCAATGGGCAGGGGAAGTGATTGCAGGCTCAGCTGCTGCTTCCCATCAACCAGACACATAAATCAACAGATCAGCAACAATGCCTGAGTATTACACAATGACTGCTGACTCCCCCATCAGCCCTCCAATTCTCAGAAGAATCTCCATGGAACCCACAATAGCTGGAAACATACAGAAAGGGAACTCTGGGAAATATAGTTTGGCTGAGACAGTTGGCACAATAAGAAGCATCACACTGTTAAGTAAAAATCAGAAAATGTTTTATTTCAAAAATACTCTGTGTCTCTTGAAAAATTAGATTCTAAGATTATAATAGAAACATGCAAAGAATTTCTAAAGCTAAGAAGAAGCTGTCCCTTAGGGCTGCATGGTACTCCCTAGGCTGTTTCAAAGATTGCTATTGTCTATTGGCCCCATAAGGTAACTGAGTTTGAGATTTAAACAAAAATTAAAACTTAGATTCGCATGGATGCCGTTGATTCCTCCCCCTTTTCTTTACCATATCAACTTTCTTTCCCCCTCCTTTGTCCATATTTTTCTTTCTTGAGGATGAGAAAATGTGGACATATGGTGATAAATGTACTGGATAGAGGGCAGAGGCTCAGAAGAGAATCTTCCCCACCTGCTAGAGTAGGGGGCTACATGTTGGTGGGGTTCAGCGTCTTCCCAGCAAACAATGATTTTAACACCGGGAATAGGATGAGGTGGACTTTTATCATATTGGCTTTCATCTGCCCACCTGCCATACATGAAAAGTCCACACAACCACGGATGGAAAACCTTTTGGGTTTATTTCCACTTCTACTTCTGTGTGCCTGTCATTGGGCATGATTTCTGTGAATTTTGCTAATACTCATTAGATTTTTTTAATCCTCAATGTATCTCTGTTTTTTTTAAAGCCCTATTTTGATATAACCAGGATAGTGAAAATTATCAAACACACACATCCAAACCACTTTAAAGCAACTAATGTAAAATTTTAATTGTTTTCTAGAAACCAATAGCTGATTTAACTATGACCTTCAATATTTTAAAGGGAAAAGATGGCCAACCTCAAACCAAGAGAAATACTCTCATCCCTTGGTATCTATGGATGGTTGGTTCCAGGACTCCCCTCAGATACCCAAATCCACAGATGCTCAGGTCCTTTATATAACATTGTATAGTATTTGCATATAATCTATGCATATTCTCCCATGTACTTTGTCATTTCTAGGTTATTTATAATACCTACTACAATGTAAGTTCTACGTAAATAGTGTTATACTGTATTGTTTAGGGAATCATGTCAAGAAAAAATGTCTATACATGTTCAGTACAGACACAACCATCCACTTATGGTTCTTCTGAATAGTTTTGATCCAAAAGTGGTTGAATCCACAGATGTGGAACCCATGGATATGAAGGGGATGACTGTATTTACCTACAGAAAATCCAAAGAGGAAATCTACTAGATGCTTTGAGATATTTGATGAAGAAGTACTTGGAGATGAGAGAAAAGGCTATTGCATGAGGGCAAATGCAGGCATACTGGGCTGAAGAAAACACTGAAGAAATTTTTCCTTCCAAATAGGAAAGCAGTTGCCAAGAACAGCATTACAGTCTCTGTTTTCCATGTATTATATTATATCTAAGGCCATATTCATGCAGCAAATTCACCACTTGGAGTGCTGTTTATACATTTTCTGTCAACAGAAATCAACAGACACAAGTGTTCTGTGTTTATTATAATCATTAGTTGAGGTTAATCTTTGATTTGTCAAGGAGGTGTTTGAATTTCCTCAAATAATATTTTCAGATTTTAAAGAGTCACACACACACACACATATACACAATAACACATTTATACAGACACACGAACAACTTTATACAATTGGAGAGAAGCTTAGCAGATTAACCATTTTGGCATCAAAATGGATTTCGCCCTATCTAATTATGCTAGTATATAAAAATTTGTGTCAAAGAGAGTAGCCAGCAGCATGTGCCTGTGTTTGGTACATAAGAGAGAATAGAAAATACATTGTTTTCTATCTTTGGCTGAGAAAGATTTGTTTCCTTTTTCTTTGCACCTTTCGTATTATCCAAAAAAGAAAAAAGCTTACTCTTAGGTTTTGCAAAATACACAGTGAGCTGTTACAATTCTTAAGTTTCTTATTGGGTCTGTGTTTTAGGTGGAACCAAAAAACCCTAGGACTTGAAAAAAATATTGTAAAGCAGTCAAGACATCTTTATAATTGTTGAGTACCAACTGCAGTGCAATCACTTTAGTCAAAGCCTCCATCATCTCTCCCCTGGATTTCTAAGTAGCCTCCAAACTGGTCTTCCTGCTGCCACATGTACACACTCAAAATCTATTCTCAACATGTCACCCAGAGGCATCCTTTTAGAACACAAGTTAAATCAGGTCACTCCTCTGTTGAAGACCCTTCAATGGCTCCCATAATCCTCTAAAAGTCCAATACAGTCTAACTCCACTTTTGCTGCATTTTTTCTTCCCTTCCTCCTTGATATACTCTCTGCTCAGGCCACACTGGGCTCATTGCTAGGCCCCAACAAGACAGGCGAATCCCACCTTGAGCCATTGTTTCCTCATCTCCCAAGTGTCTGTTTGGGCAACTCTCTCCTGTCTTTCAAATGTTTGCTCAAATCTGTCAGAGGCTTTCCATGACCACTTTATTAAAATTTACAACCCCCCTCCACCACTCTCCCATCCCTGCCATCCTCTCTCCTGTTTATTCTGCTGTGCTTTCTGTTTTTCATAGCATTTGTCACCTTCTCTCATTCAGTCATACCCTTCTTTCCTAAGTGTGTCCTTGAGTACTGCCCCACCCATCAGAATATAAGCTCCACAACGGGAAGAGGCTTTGTCTGTTTCGTTCCCTGACGCTCTTGAGTTCCAGACATCCAAGAACATCGCCTGCCATATAGCTGGTGTCCAATAAATATTTTTTGAATGCATGATGTATGTAGAGGGCTAACAACATTAACTTTGTATGTTAAAAAATAGTTCTGGCTCTTTGCGGGGAGAAAAGTAGTGCCCTTAAGCCCAGACTCCTTGGACTGTGTTGTTCACTGAACAAACAGCTGTCAATCATTCATCACTATCTTTTCTCAAGTTTCTTGATGGTAGTGGGATTTTGTGGAGAATATCTCAAAAGTAACAGCTGTGATCATTTTTAACAACTAATTTTTACAGAGAGTGGGGAGGCCGAGGAGAACTCAATGCCAATTCCATTGCATGTGTGGGAGGCCAGGTGCCTTGTCACACTGGGGGTGTTGGAGCAGATAAAGGCAAACAGAGGAGTTAAAACTGTACTCTAGAAGGCACTCCAAGAGACGTCCCAGACAAATAATTGGAAACACCAGATGACTTAGAAATCAATTTCATTGCCACAAAAATGACAGCCTCCCTTTTTTTCCACACAGGGGGAAGGTTCCTCCTCATTCTTGTCGGAAACTTGCCATGAGGATCCCTCTGTTTCCCCCAACTTTACTCCCCCCAACCCTCAAGCTCTCAAGTGGTGACCACCGTCCTTCCGGCCAGGTAGGACTGGATGGGAGGGGTCGCTTTTGAGAGAAGGGTGGTGTGTAGCCATCCAGTTTTCAGGCATCACGGACTTGCTCGTTTGTCCTTCATCCTCCCTTTCTCTACATTCCCATCTTTTTTTTCTGCTAAAGTTCCCAGCCACACCCATGATCATTTCCTCATCCTTTCTGCCTTCCTCTGGTATTAATTTCTCCATCATTGTGCTCTCTCTTCCTGACATAAATCTCATTCTTCCATATTGTCTTCTTCCTCTTTCTCCATTTTGTTTCTCTATTGGCAAATTTGGCTTCCTTTTTAATCTGGATTTTCTCTCTTGCACTCAGACTATTATTCCCACTTTGGAAACATTTTTTTTTCCATTTCTGCTTCTCACTACACTGTTTTCCCGTGGTCCTATTATCTTACAATCCAGTGGGATCAAGTTAACTCTCAAGGAGTCTGTTTCAATCCACTCCCCTCAACTTACCACAGCCCTCCTTTTGGAAGTCCAGCAAAATTTACTTTATTCCCACATGGTATTTAGAGTGAATGGGGACAGCTTGTGATTTCCTGATTCTCTAGAAGCAAGAGCTCTTGGAAATATCTCACTAATAGGGATGCTTGGGCCAGGAGCTCTTTGTCAGAGCAAACTTCAGCTTGAAAATCAGAGCAGACTTTAACTTACCCAAGGAGATGCATCACGAAAACTATTATATTCCCTTCACTAATAAGAAAACTAGCATAAGCCATTCCAAAGAGTGTGCAATTCTTAGAAAAAAGAAGCATTCTTGTGATTATAAATAAAGCAAACTTTATTCTAATGTAATGAAAATAAAATTCTACAGTGAGACTTGTACTGTTTTTGTCTTCAAGTATTTGTTCATCTGTGAAATAATGCAGTTTAAAAACATGTCAAAGAATTACTGAAAATAACTCTTTACTGAGAAAGAGGTATGAGTTATTCCTCTTCCTCGACATCAGTTGTTGCTCTGGCTCAGAGCTTTTCAGACCTTTGTGGGTATCTGAATTACTTGGACATCCTGTTAAACTGCAGACACTTATCTAGGATGTCTGAGTGGGGCCGGAAAGTCTGCCTTTCTAAGTAGCTCCCAGGGGATGTTGATGCTGCCACAGTTCCAGGGAGCACATTTTAACTGGCCAGGATGTAGTACATTCCTACCTCCAGGCTTAAGCACCTGGAAGAAGCTTGAAGCAACTGTCATGGCATTTTAATGTATTTTAACTTTTTGACCCAATCACAAGCCTGGGCCTTTGATTTTTTTTTTTTTTTTTCTACTGCCTGTAACACTAGAAAGAGGGACACAGGGAATGCCATGTCAGAACAAAGTCACAACATGGCTATGAATTCTGTTCATGTCCTCTCAACAGTGATCATTTTGTTTCTGTATTACCTTGTAATGAAGGCCATATTGGAAGGTGAGTAGAGGACCGACATATAATATCAATTTCTGGCTTCTACAAGAAGGCATCAGGGAGACCTTGACAATTTCTTCTTCGTTTGGATATAAATGTTAAGACTATCTTTTAAATCATCAGTGATGAGCACCATTCGATTTTTTTGTTGTTGTTACTCTTGTTACTGCCCTGGTAGTTTTGTGTTTTTTGTTTGTTTGTTTGTTTGTTTGTTTGTTTTTGAGACATTGTTTCGCTCTTGTTGCCCAGGCTGGAGTGGAATGGCGCAATCTCAGCTCACCACAACCTCCACCTCCCGGGTTCAAGTGATTCTCCTGCCTCAGCCTCCCGAGTAGCTGGGATTACAGGCTCCCTCCACTACGCCCAGCTAATTTTGTATTTTTAGTAGAAATGGGATTTCTCCATATTGGTCAGGCTGGCCTCTAACTCCCGACCTCAGGTGATCCGCCTGCCTCAGGCTCCCAAAGTGCTGGGATTACACGTGTGAGCCACGGTGCCTGGCCTGCCCTGGTAGTTTTTAAAGCTATTGTGAAACATCTAATACCACAAGTAGAATATCTTATTTTCTCAGGGGATGCAAATGACAGTGGGTGGAGGAGCTAAGAACACATGACTTAGGTTTTATTTTTCAAAACAAATGCAATAGAGACAAAAATGCTGCATTTTTGTTGCTGTGCTCTTTCAGGCTTGTAATAGCGTGTTCACAACTTGTATTCCCTTTAGAATGTCAACTGAGATACCCACTGGGGAAAAATATTTATTTTAAGAAAGAGACAAATATCCCCACAATACCTAGACTTCAAACATTTAATCATATTGTTAGTTTGTTTGGTCCCTTTAGCTTTCCACTATAAAAGATGACATAAAAATAAATATTTCACACTTTTCATGTCAAAATAGGTCTCGTGGCTAAAGCAGAAAAAGAAAATCCCATTATAGCATTTTATATTTGAAAAAAGAACAAAACGTTCTTTTATAATAGTGTATGGAAAAAAGATTTTTGTACTAATTTTAATATTTCCCCAAATGTTTTTTGCATTCTTGTTCTTTCCTTAAACATCTTCATTCATACACTACAGCTGAAAACAAAATGATGAATAAAAAGTAATAGTACATAAGGCCGGGCATGGTGGCTCATGCCTGTAATCTCAGCACTTTGGGAGGCCGAGGTGGATGGATCACCTGAGGTCAGAAGTTCGAGACCAGCCTGACCAAAATGGTGAAACCCCATCTCTACTAAAAATACAAAAAATTAGCCGGGCGTGGTGGCAGGTGTCTGTAATCCCAGCTACTCAGGAGGCTGAGGCTGAGATGAGATAGGAGAATCCCTTGAACCCGGAAGGTGATGTTGCAGTGAGCCAAGGTTGCACCATTGCACTCCAGCCTGGGCAACAAGAGCAAAACTCCATCTCAAAAAAAAAAAAAAAAAAAAAAAGGAATAGCACATAAAGGTATAAAGCTGTCATGTGTTTGCCAAAGGATAATGTTTTCTATTATGATAGAAGATTGGCCCCAAGAGTAGTCATCACATAAATAGTTGGAATTTTACATTTTTTAATTTGTGAGTGCAAATCTTCATTGGTGAAAAAATATATTCCTTGTTATCAGCTAGACCTTAATAGGTGAAGCTAAGTAGGTGAGTTATACTTTTAACTGTGGTAACCCATTTTTTAAATAGCTACAAATCACTGTAGAGCGAGATATAAAATAAACAAAAAAGATGTTTGCTCATTTTATGTATACATAAGTCTTTAGATAAAGAGCTGTAGAATGACCAATTTCTAAAAACACCAATGAAACATTAGAAAATTATAAATATATGCCAAGTAATTATTAATGCCTGCTTTATTCTAGGATATGCCAATTTCAATAGAAAACACAAAAGAACAGAAAACATAGTTCCTACATGCTTTGAAATAATAAAGGTCAGTTTAAGGCCGTAGAAAGGCATCAAAATATTTTTCTGACACATAATACTAAAAACAAAAATTAGCATTTATGGAGCACTTACTGCATCATCAAACACCTTTAAAGCACATAACATGTGTTATCTTCTTATTCTTACCACTGTACATTTGGAGAAACTAAGGTTCAAAAAGGTTAATGAACTTTACTAAGGTCAGACAAGAAGTACCAGACCTTGGACACACCATGTGTCCTTCAGCTTTCTAAGTATATGTCTGAAGCTAAGATTTTATGATCTAGATGTCAAAGTAGGTGACTTCTCTTTCTTATGTTGACATGGATAAACAAGCAATAAGGGTACAACACCTGTGCCTCAATATACTTATCTGTAAAATGGAAAGACGACGAGCCTCTTTGTTAAAGAAGCATATCTCTTTGAGTGGCTAGAAGGGATACACACCACACATGTATACCAAACACTGTTTCATTTGCTGGTGGCATAGCCCAGCCTCCACAAGATCGTGGCTAAATTGTGCCAGAGATTTCACCCCCAAACTGATCACAACAGCACAAGGCATTAAACATCACAGGCAGCACGTTCACATTGCTCAAAGTCACTTGTTTTTAGCAAACTTCTGGGAGAAGAACATCTCTGAGGACTAGATTTTAGAAAACCTCCAGCTCTGTGAAAACAGGACTCACCTCTAGGAAACCACAATTAGTCACAGTTTCTGTCACTGAGAGGTGGGCAGCTGTTTTCCGTGTTCATCGCATCTGCTGGGGAAGCAATGCCAAGCAGAAGGAAAGGGAGACACCTGAGGCACAGTGTGGCCTGCACAGTTGGGTTAAGATAATTTTGAGTCAACCTTCCCTGTCTATGGCTGCTGAAAACTCATAGTTCCCCTCTCTAAAGCAGCAGGATTGAGGAAGGGCTCACCCACTCTCACCTCCTTCCAACTTTGGCTTTCCTCCTTCCTCTCATCTCCTCTACTTGCAAGCCATTCGGCTTATACATGTCAATGCTGTTTCAACAACAGACTCAGTGGGTTTGCTTCCCCTGAGGTCTTCTTTCTCTCTCTCCTCTTCCCATTCCTCCTCTTAAGTCTGTCTCTTGCCCCAGCCTTAGAACAGAATCCTTGTTAACTAACCCTTCTTCTGTACTATACAAGAGAGGAGTTAGAGTACACGTTGGGCTTTGCAACGGGTCTGCTTTCATTTGTTAAGCAATTGTTTTTTATTTGGATTTCATTTATTCATTTAAATATTTATGAAGCCCTACTACTTACCCTCAGGATGCTAGGCATTCTAAAGGAATATCTTGCTAGAGAAACGTCTCCGTTTAGATTGTACCTTAAGTTTCAGTCACAGCACAGAAAAGGGCTTCTTTGGAACCTGTGACAGGTGACCGTCTTCTCCTTTTCCTCTGCAGTTAGATTCAGGGCGACTGCTTTGGGCTAAATTATGAAAGACTTAAGCAGGAGTAAAGAGATTTTTCTGAAAGTAAAAATATCTAAATACCTAAATAGATTCCCGAGGGCTGTTGTGTGTCTCTTTGAAGATCTTTAAATGCGGAGACAAAGAAGGCGTCTACCAGCAGAGGGTTGCGTATGTCTGAGTGACCTTTTTATGATCTCTTTTGAGTCCGTGAAGGATGCGATTAATTAAAGTCGGAAGTTTGTCACTGAAATAATAGTTATGAGATCCAGAGAATTCAAGGTGTTGGAGGACTCATTAAGTAGTTGCATAAATATCATGCTGAAAGATTTAATGAGACCACAGGGTCACTTATAGAACGATGGTGCAGAGATGACCTAGAAAAAAATAAATTAGAATCGATATTGTGCTTCTGAATTAACAGCTATAGATTGCTATATTAACACCTGAGACATAAATTCTATAATTATATCTTAATGATGAATATTGATGTTCTTGTCACGGAAAAAATGAAAATTGCTCACATTTAGTATTTTACTTATCAATAGTAAAATAAATGTATATATGCGTGCTTATTTCTGTGACATCTGGGAACCGTGAATGCTTTAAGTAGCTACAATTAAATGAATAGTGTTTTTTTTTTTTCCTTTTAATTCAACCAATAGTTATTAAATGCCTACTACACAGCAGGCACTGGGCTAGGTGCTGGGAAAAAACACAGATGCACCCTTTTCCCCCCTTCAAGTTGATTATAGTATAGTGCTATCCAATAGAATTTTCTGCAGTGATGGAAATTTTCCATGTCTCAGTGTCCAGGGCAGTAGCAACTAGCCACAAGTAGTTATTAACCATTTGAAATGTGGCTGATGCAACTAAGGAGTTGAATTTTTTATTTTATTTTAACTGTTTATATTTAAATATAAATATAAACAGCCACATGCTTAATCTTAGTTTCTAATGTGTAATCCACCGTTGTGTCAAAAAGGATTGCACTGGGACAAAAGACTATGTTCATCATTATAAAAGAGCTGTTTACATGGGAGGAAAGGCTGACACATAATTGAGGAAACCAAGGAAGGCTTCACAGAGGTGGCAGTCACTGAGCTGAGACCTAGAGGAGCAGATAAGAAGGACTTCCTCATGACAATATGAAAAAGCCTGAGATGCGAGTATCATGTTACTTGCATCTTGTGGAACTGTATGTAATTTCATCATTTGCATGTTGTGTTACTCTGCTCAGCTTCCACAGCAAAATGTCACAGACTGGGTGGCTTCAGCAACAGAAATTTATTTTTTCACAATTCTGGAGTCTGGAAGTCTAAGATCAAGGTGCCCGCGAGATTCGTTTCTGGGGAGGCTTCTCCTCTGGGTTTGCAGACAGTGGCTTTTTGCCATGTCCTCAGATGGCCTTTCTATGCACATGCACAGAGAGAGAGAGAGCGCATGCACACGCTGGCACTTCTTCCTTTTCTTATAAGGACACCAGCCCCATCAGATCAGGGACCTACTCATAGGAGCTCATTTAACCTTAATTACTTCATTAAAGATCCTGTCTCCAAATATAATCACATTGAGGGTTAGGGCTTTGATATATGAATTTGGGGTAGACACAATTCAGTCCATAAAGGAAGTATATCTCTCACACATAGCTCACACAAATTCTGTAGAAAACTATCATCTATTTACCTAGCATCTGGTGATTTTAATCACTGCTTTTGACTTGCATAGTGATAGATAACATAGGGTTCTAGAATAGTAACAGGTATAAAAAATACCTAAACCAAAGTATCCACCTCACAGAACTCGAATGTAATTAAATATTGCTTAAGCAAATATTAATTTTCCTTTATTCTTTGAAGACAAACCAGTGGTGAGCTGGAGCTTACTATCTAAGCTCATAAGAGTCCATTTTAAAATTTTTCAGGGATTTTGTGACCTGGTTATTCAACACAACCATTACTACAAATTAAATTATATAAACTTTCAATGAAATAAATTTATTCAAAACAAATGTAACAAATACTCATAACTCATCATTTACCAATTTTTTCCTAGAGCTTTGTTGAAGCACTTTTTAAATTTTTTTTAAGACAGGGTCTCACTGTGTTTCCTGGCTGGAATGCAGTGAAGCGATCATGGCTCACTGCAGCCTCAATTTCCCGAGGTCAGTTCAATGGATCCTCCCACATCAGCTTCCCACGTAGCTGAGAATACAGGCTTACCACCACACTTGGCTGATTTTTTTTTATTTTTAGTTTTGTAGAGGTGGAGTTTTGCCATGTTGCCCAGGCTGATCTTAAACTCCTGAGCTCAAAGCGATCGTCCCGCCTCAGCCTCCCAAAGTGCTCGGATTACAGGCATGAGCCACCATGCCCGGCTCACTTACAAATAATTTAATACCTCTCACTATTGCCGGTGCTCTCACTATTGCTGGTGCTCTCTAGGTACTTTGCATCTTTACATCTACTACGCACCATCGGTAGTGGTGGCTCTGACAGTCTGCTACTGTACACCTCCTCCCAACGCCTTATTCAAGGTCACGACTTTGTTACTTTGAGACTGGCTCTGGGCAAGTATTTACACCATTGAAAATCAACAATCTCTAAAACTGGGCCCTTTCATTTTCCAGGAGAGCCGTATATTAATCATTTACCGGCATACCACTGGCACAAACCTTACCCTCTTTCATGGTACAGGGTTTTCCCAGTATTTATCTGGAGTTCCTGTTGCAGCTTTCCATGGTTGAAACATTATTACCCATCCTTTAAAAACAAAATGAAACTTTTTACTGAAATAAATTACCTTCTTTAAAGCTTTTTTTTCTGTTTCCTCCATTAGACAGAGCCTGTACTGCTCTGTTGATCTATGAACTTTCAGGCCCTCAGTATAAAATGTTTTAAGGACAACAGAAAAGTCCCCTAAAACTTACACCTAGCATTGACAACATTTTTCTAGCCCCCTCAGCAATGTCTTCTACCTAAAATTGCCTCAGCTGTAACGTAACATACCTCCTGCTGCTAGTACTAGCTCACAGCTAATACTAAGCGTAACACCTGACTCCATTTTACAGGGGCCACTTTTTTTCCTCTAAAAGTTTTATGTAGCAGTAAGTGAAATAGAATAGATGCTGGGGTAAACAGCAGTTTCCAGATTAAATGTTATTTTCTGTAGGAAACATTTCTCTCCAATGTTGCCCCTTCACACCATCCCCAAACAAGTAAAAAGTTGCTCAGACTTTGAAAATGTAATACCATCTGGCAGAACTCACATTCGACCTTTTATTAAAACTACAATTATGTCACACCTGTGAGGTTTAAAATTCAAGGCTCCGGAAGTTAAAGCGACGTGTCCAAGGTTACATGGAAAATTCTTGAGAGCTCACAGTTTCCTGCCCTGGCCTTTCACTTCGGATGTACACCATAGTACGTGTGTTTTCTGATTAGAGCTCTCTTCAGTTATGATTTATTTTACCATCATAACATTTTGGGAGGCTGGTATGAGGGAGAGTATAGAAGAAGGAATTCAAGCAGAAAAGGTTAAATGATTTACAGTTTTCGCCCTTTCTCCAAGGGAAATTTATGTGCCCCCAAATTTTAGAATCATGAATTTAGATTGAATGAGAATGGATAAAATCCATTTACAGTCAATTTAGATTGCATAAGAATGGATGAAATCCTTGGCATATCTAAAGAATGGAAAAGGGATCCCAGGAGGTAGTTCTGGATAACTTTTAACTTGAAAACGTCTGGTAGAGGCCGGGCATGGTGGCTCATGCTTATAATCCCAGCACTTTGGGAGGGCGAGTCAGGCAGATGACTTGAGCCCAAGAGTTTGAGACCAGCCTGGGCAACATGGCAAAACCCTATCTCTACAAAAAATACAAAAATTAGCTAGCTGTGGTGGTGCATGCTTGTAGTCCCAGCTACTTGGGGGGCTGAGAGATGGGAGGATTGCTTGAACCTGCGAGGTCAAGGCCGCAGTGAGCCAAGATCGCACTACTGCACTCTGGCCTCTGGCCTGGACAACAGATTGAGACCCTGTCTCAAAAATAAATAAATAAATAGTCTGGAAGGATAGAAAAAGCAAGTGAGAAACAAAAAAGGGACCACCTATGAGGTAGGAGGAAAACCAAGAGTGTCAAACAAACCCAGAGGAAAAGCAGTGCATGAGTATGAAGGGCATGATCCCCAGTGTCTAAAGTTGGTGAATGCTACAGGAGAGTCTTCTTTGGTTTTAGTATCCAGGAGGTCATTATTGGCCTTGATCTTAATGAGGAATCAGCCAAAAGGTGGGGAAGGGAACCAGGTAAGAGTGGATTAAACAGGAGACCAGGAACAGGAGACAGCTTATCTAACACTCATTTGGAGGTTTAGACTCGAAGGGAAGCAGGGATCTGGTCTAGTAATGGAGGAAATAGGAGGGAAAATCCATTTGAGAAGAGATTAATGAATCCTTCTAATTCATGGTTCGGTCTAGTTTATCATGAAACACTAAATCAAATGAAAGAGTTGCTTCTATAGCCCTGTGCACTTCCATCAGCAGATTTTATATTGAGTTGTGCAGATCAACCCCATTGCCAAGGAAGAACAAGAAAAAGATATTTCACCTACATTAATGGTTGGCAGAGTGGTTTTTCCCTCTGATAAATTAATATTCAATGGAGGAACAATATGTTAATGAGTATACAGCATATATTATTCAGAACAATAACAATAAAGGATTTCTGTAGACCTTGTTTAAATGTTAGGTTTTCTTTTGCTGTTGAGTACATGAACAGCAATACTTACACAACTTACATCATGATCGTCAGAGCCGATACAGAAAGCCACAGGCCTGCCTGGCTGCTACACTGAGGTGTCTACAGACCAAGAGGCTTCACATGTGCCTTTCTGTAATTAGTATTTACTCAGCCTCCTATAGCAGGGAAAATATTTTGCACATAATAAACTCATATATTTCCTTACCCATTAAGGGGTAATGTACTTAAGCACATTTTCCTGTAGGATTTTTACCAGCAAGGTCGAGTCATAGCTCCAGGAGAGGAAAGAATGGGACTCACTAGAAGAGAAGATCCTCATTAGCAAGTGAAAAATTTTGTAAAACAGGGATTACAAGAGAGGAAGGTATTTTTTTTTCAAATTTTTCAAATTCCTTTAACTTCTTCTAACATGGAAGTCAGATCTGGGGGGCTAGAGCCTTGCTTGCTATATACCCAAAGATGACAGAACTCAGGATAAGACATAGAAAAAGAGAAAAGCCTGCCCCCTTCTTCCTCAGGCCTTGGAATCGTTGGAAGAAGAAGGGGAGAGAGAGAATAGAGCAGGAAATGAGACTTTGTATGTACCTCTCTGACTTCTACCCTCCAGGCGAAAATCCGGAAGATTCTGGAGCAGGCTCATGACACCTCATATCTTGTGTGTCTTAGAAGGGACACGAAAGCTCTTGCATGTCCTGGTGATGGGAAATGGTGGTGTGAGCGGGGGCTGGTGTGAGCGGGGGCTGGTGTGAGCGGGGGCTGGTGAAAGCTGGGACAAGACAAAGAGGCTCCCTCTGGTGTTGACTTCATAACTGAAGTCCGCTGGACTCAAGTAATGAGTGGACTTGGCCAGACTCTACCGGGGCATCTCGCCCCAAATGGCCAGCAGTCTTGTGTCCATGGAGAAATCTAGACCAACCATTTCACAGCACAGACCTATGAGGATGCAGAGAGCAGCCTGGCAGGTCTAAGTCTGTGCCTTTCTCCCCCTTGGAAGACACACTGATTTCCTGAATAGATTTACCCACCATTTGGGAGAGCTGAAAATGGGAAGGACAACTTTACAAGCTTCAACTTTACCCAAAGAGACTGACTCATGCAAAAAAACGTGTAAAACCAATCCTATGGGGAGTGAAATGTTGAAGAAACCATAAGGAAATTGTCTATTTCCTTTAACAGTTAGAAGGACTAGGGCAGCTTCCCTTCCTGTCATGGGAAGTGTGGCTCCTACGCCCTCTGGGAGAGTGGTTTGAGAAGTGTTTCCGCTGTGACTTAAATTATAGCCATTTCCCGAGCAGGCAGCCCAGGGACTGTGGTAGGCAGTGCCAGCTACTCGGAGTCAATTGAAAGGGAATTGGTCGCCTGGGAGGTTTCTAACCTGATTTCAGGTTTCCTGGACACCGCGTCCTCTCCTGACCCAACACCTGCTGTGACAGATAGATGTTTGTAATGAGGTGAATAACAAACAGTCTCATGAACATTAGGTCACATGGAACAAAAGGCACACTGGCTTAGGTGGAGCCTGCATTTTCCTGTTTTTCTAATACATTTCTCTACCAAGTCTACTCACTCGCGGAAAGCTTTGGCAAGATTTTTAGGCAAAGCCTTTAAACTCACATTTTTTTGAAGAAAAAAATGTTTGCTATTTCATGGCTGAAAGAGAGACTCAATTCTGCTGTTACATTCAGAAATCTGTTTTTTTGTTTTTAAATGTCTGTTTCATACTTAAAATCTCAGAATATCTTACTGAGACCAGCTCTAAAGTAAACTATTTCACCACACTCAAAGAAGACCCAACCATCATAATAAAAGGGGCAGAAAGAAACATTGGGAGGTGATGGATTTGTTGTAAAAATGAATGAGGGCCAGGCACGGTGGCTCACACCTATAATCCCAGCACTTTGGGAGCCTGAAGTGGGAGGATCACTTGAGCCAAGGAAATCGAAATCAGCCTGGGCAAGATAGTGAGACCCTATCTCTAAAAAAATTTTAAAAAATTAGCTGGGCATGGTAACACATGCCTGTAGTCCCAGCTACTGAGGAGGCTGAGGCGGGAGGATCACTTGAGCCCAGGAATTGCAGGCTGCAGTGAATTATGATCACACCACTGCACAGCCAGGGCAACAGAGCAAGATTCTGTTTTAAATAAATAAATAAATATTAATGAATAAAATCAAATATTCCTAATAGACAAACTGGCTTTTGACTTTTCTGGTGGTATTTCAATTGATTTTTCCTGTAGCGGAATTCATAGGTGAATGCCTGCCACAGCAAGGGTCCAGTGTGAATGAAGCTTTCTATGTGATTTGTAGGTTTTTCCTCTGCCCTGATGTGACTACCAGAAGTGGGGTTCAGCTGGGAGTTTTAGAAATGACTTTTTCTTTTTATTTAAATTTTGTGCCTAATTATATTCTTAGATGTATTGGTCAGAGCTTTATCATGATCATTCGTATATCTACAGTCCCTCAGTATTTAAGTCTTATTAGCAAAAGTAAATGTGAAAAAGGTATTGTGTGAGATTTTACAACAGCCCAAGATGAAGAGTATAGATGTGTGTGGTGTTTGTCGATGGCATTATGCTTCTATCCTTGTTCTGACAGGATTCTGGCCTTTTGGAACATTCTGTCTAAGGATTGAAGCTAATTTAGTTGAGAAACCTAAATATTACATTTCGAGAATGAATTTAACACCTAGATTTCCAATCTTGAAATTACAATAGTCACTCACTTATCAAAGAGTAGAGTAGAAAATAGTTCTTTCCTTTTAACATCTTTTCTCTCTTAAAATTGGAGGACAGGGATTTATAAGTAGTGTTCCATCTATCCATCCATCCATTTATCCATCCATCCATCCATTCTTTCATCCACCTATCCACCTATGGTATGTACTTGCATGTGTGTGTGTGTGTGTGTGTGTGTGTGTGTGTAAACATATTTAAAAGGCAGGTTTACTCATTGCTTTTGGTACAGTTCTCTAAACTAAAGAAGCTTATGTTGGTACTTTTATTGTCCATGAAATTATATTATGAAACAATAACAGGTAGGAAGGATGGGTTCCCATAAATATCCTCTTACTCTCTTTGCATTTTGTATCATGTGCACTACTAATCTCTTACATTTGTTAATCCATTGCTATGGTTTTGACATAAGTTGGACTGACACCTTCATTTAGCAGATGTAGAAAGAGGCCCAGAGAGGTCCACTTACAGGCAGGAGTAGGGCCAGGCCAGAAATCTAGTCTCCCGTCTTTTTGCTTTTCTTAGCAAACAGATTCCCCAATGAGCAGACTTGATTGTGTCTTGCTGCACAGCAATCCACACTAACCATACAGGTGTAATGTCCATTATCTAAAAACCCCAGTCCGCTTTGATTTCGGATCATGTGCTTCCCTTCTCTACTGTGCAGATGTCAGGTAAACAGGTCATCGCTGCACTGCTTCATTGTTTGTTCCAGTCTTCTTTTCTCTGGGTTCCTTCCTTTATTCATTTTCAGCTGTTATGAATTTATACACAATTAAAGGGGGAGGGAGGCATATTAATTGAAAAATTGATGACATAACCTTGAGGGCTTTGCTTTAATTACCTCCAGTGTCCAGGAATGACAGTTCTTCAGATTTATCTTCTCTTCCTTAATAGAGGATTTTCCCACTGGACAGACTTCTGGCAATATCTGGTGTTCAGACTGTAGTGCCATGCTCTGCTATTTTTATTACTCACACAAAAGTGCGTTGATGGGCCATGGGCAAGTTAAATTTATCATCTTGCAACGGTGGGATGAAAGAGCCATTGCTAACCCTGGCAAACCTAAGGTGTACAATTTCACAAAATTACATAGATGGTAAGAGGTGGTGTTGACACAATTGGAGCTGACACTTTCATTTAGCCGACGTGGAAAGAGGCCCAAGAGGTCCACTTACAGGCAGTGGTAGGGCCAGGTCAGAAGTCTAATCTTCAGCCTCCTTGCTTTGTACTCCCGACCTCAAACCCGACCACTCTCTTCTCCCAACCATAATGCATCTTAGTGAGTTACAGTACAACAAAAGATCTAGAAATATCTGACTATTAAAAAATTATCTGCTGATCATAAAACAATTGAAAACATAGAGAAGAATTTAGTTAGGGGCTAGATGTAGTGTTTAAAATTTGAAAATCAATAGTTTTCCTCTATAGCATCAATAATATCTATCTGTCTATCTAATTATGTATAATATGAAACAAAACAACAGAAACCATAAGATATATTAATAGAACACATATAACCTGTTTATAGATATTCCTAAGGAGGATTGTGGCAAAGATTCCTGGAAGTGATATTTAATGGTATCTTATAAAATGGTAGTGAAGAGAAAAGTAAAACAGTGGCAAAGAATATGAAAGATGAGATACCAGTGTATAAGAGAGCAATAAATAATTAAAAGCAAACAAATGGGAAGGAACTGATCTTTCAGAAAAAACCAGGAGATACAGCTAAGTGCCCAGAGCACAGGATCCCATCTGAGAGGGACACTGGAAAGAGAAAACCAAGGGAGGTAAATTATCAAAGAAATATTATAAGAAACATTTTCACAACTGAAGAATATTAATTACCAGACTGAAGGGCCAAACTGAGTGCCCAGCCACAAGAAAGAAATGACCCACACTTAGGCTCCAAACTGGAAAATTTTGGAATACCAAAAACAAAAAGAATTTTTTTCAACATTTCCAGAACAAAAACTACCACTCACAAATTGAAAGTCAGAATGAGATCAGGCATCTCTACAGAAAATGAAAGTTTGAAGAGTAAAGCAAAGCATTCAAAGTCCTAAAATAATTTAATGGGGAATTCTGAAGCCATACTATCAAGCCAGAGAATAGAACAAAAACATGTTCAGACATACAAAATACTGTACCATCTATATATTTTTCTAAAAGGCAAAACAAATTCTGTTCTTTCTATAAGCATATATATGAATATGAATGAACAGAGAATTTCTGGACATCTACATACCAAACTTAAACCATGGTTTACCTGGGGGAGGGGACTGGGATTAGGGAGGTGGCCAAAGGGTGCTTTGCAGCTATCCATATTGTTTGTTTGCATGTGTTTACTGAAATAATGTAATTATGTATTATCTGGGTGATTAAAAGTATTCTTCATGTTAATGCAAGATAATCCATTAGTGATAAAAGTTAGTTTTAAATGAGAGCTTGTTTGAAATTCTAAGCTTTCCTCTAACTGTTCATCTGGAACCACTTCTTTCAAGTGCCCTTTCTATTTCTAGCTTTAAAAAGAAATCCAATTCAGGCTAAAAGGAGCCATTATAGTTTCTTGATATCATCACATTTCTGTTAATGAGCCCTTCAAACTTGATTGGTTCTTAGTAGAATTACAGTGATTCTGAAGCAATCCTGAAGTCACCTGTTTCCCTCTGCCATAGAAAATGCCGCATCTGTTGCTGATATAATCTAAGATAACAAAATATCAAGAAAACAAAACAGAGAGACCTGAGCTTCCAATGAAAACTCTGTATAACTTTTTAAAATATGTTTAAATGCATCAATGAATGGGAAAAAAGTAGAGAACGCTCAGAGGACAAGGTCCAAGTGAAAGCAGGTACCAGAGAGGTGAGCAGAGCATGCAAGCTGTCCTTTATCTTGAAGGTGTCTATCAGTGTCAGCTTGGTAGAACTTGGTATTGAAACTTGGTGTAGAATAGAGGAGGAAAAAATTCTCCCTGAGAATTCATGATTGCAAGCTGGTCCTCACTGGGGGGTTTGAAGCCTGAATTCACCCCACCTGACAAACTCAGGGCCAGACTGAAGGGCCAAACTGAGTGCTCAGCAACAAGAAAGAAATGACCCACGCTTAGGCTCCAAACTGGAAAATTTCAGAATACCAAAAAACAAAGAGATTTAATTTAAATCTGTCTCATCCTGGAAATCCTCTGGGCTCCTGACATAATTAATCAGTTTGTTTAAAAAGGAACCCATCTTTAAACCAGACCTTAAACTATTACTACAGATAAAGTTCCAGGAAATTCACCACATGAAAGCAATCACAATGAATACGAAGAAAGTCCATGAGTGAGAAAGAGCAAAAATAACAGACAGCAGAATGACCCCTACAAAAACTTGAGATTTTGGAATTATGAGAAACAGAATATTAAGCAAGTACTTTTAAGGTTGACAATATGAGTAAAAAGCAACTGACTAAAAAAAGCGATGAAGCACATTTGCAAACAAACAAATTGATTCTCTATAAGTGAAAAATATATTTAAAATGCAATGCATAGTTATAGCAACAGAAAGAGAATTAGTAAATTTTTAGTGATCTATATAATTAGCAAGAATACAGCAAAGTATCAAAGACATGGAAAATATGGTAGAGAGATCAAGAGGCACGAAGGATAGAATGAGAAGAGGTGAGAGCAAATAGGTACAGGAGATTATCTGAAGAGGTTATGTTTCAGAATTAATAAAATTAATTCTGGATTAATTCATAGATTCACAAATTCATAGATTAAGAAATCTCAAGCATAGTGTATTTTAAACAATGCCACATCTAAATATAAGTATCATATTTAAGTTCCAGAAACACAAGTATCATTTAACAATGAAAGTAATAAAGAGATTTTTAGCACAGCCCAGGAAGACAAAAGATGGGGAGCAAGGATACAGTGAGGACTGAGGGTTTCCCACCAGCAAATCTTCACTAAAGGAAATCATATCTCCATATGCTAGTCAGACAAAAAGATGCCCACTATTATCCCTTTCTGTTCAATGCAGTAAGACAAGAAGAATAAATAAAAGATACAATGTTCAGATATTAAATGAAAAAATATTTGCAAATGATGTGAATAACTATTCAGAATAATCTACAGATAAGTTAATGAGTTAGCAAATATGCTGAATATAAAATTAATTTATAAAAATCCATTTCATTTCCATATATAAGCAACAGGCAGCTAGAATAACTTAAAAAATATATAACATCATAACAAGTAAAGTTATTATTGGGTATAACATCAAACAAGGTCTATTATAACATGCTTATGAATTGGAAGAGCCAATAGCATAAAAATAAGTTCTGGCCAACATGGTGAAACCCCGTCTCTACTAAAAATACAAAAATTAGCTGGGTGTGGTGGCATGTGCTTGTAATCCCAGCTACTTGGGAGGCTGAGGCAGTAGAATCGCTTGAACCCAGGAGGCGGAGGCTGCAGTGAGCCAAGATTGTGCCACTGCACTCTCCAGCCTGGGTGACAGAGGGAGACTCAGTCTCAAAAAAAAAAAAAAAAAAGTTCTCCCAAATTGATCTATAGATTAAATGCAGTACCAAAAAAAGTCAACATTTGTAGAATTTGACAAGCTGATTCCAAAATTTTTATGGTAAAGCAATGGCCCAGGAATTACCAAGATGTTTCTGAAGTGGGACAGAACATAAAGATTCATCACATATCAAAAATCATTCTGAATATGTAGTAATTAAGATATTAGTGGGATACTGGCAGCTTTAACATTGGCACAAATATGTGATCTATGAATAAGCGCACACTGATGTGAGAACTTGATTTATGAGAGAGATGGCACTGGAGACATGTGGAGAAACTCAGGCTTTTCAATAAACATTGAAAGAACTATTATTATTGATATGGAAAAAAACTAAATTGGATTCCTACCTCACCTCACACACAAAAATCCTATCTATGTGGTTTCAAGAATTAAATATGAAATATAAAACTATAAATCTTTAGAATATTATGTAGAATACCTTTGTGCATTTGGGAAAAGGAAGGTTTTTCTTTACCAATATAGAAAAAGAACAAAATTTAACAGAAAGATTGATAATTTGGGCTAAATTGAAGGTAAGATATTCTGTTCATCAAAAGACACTTTGAAGAGAGTAAAAAGACAGATAACTCCTACACTTAAAACTTAATCAAAAATTAGTGTTATACATCATCCTTTGCTAACCATGAGGGATTTGTTCTAGGACCCACCCCGCCCAGATACCAAAACCTGCAGATGCTGAGCACCTGACACAAAATGGTGTAGATAGTCTCAAATTGATTTCCAGAGGGTTTGCACCAATTTTTACTTCCACCAACAGTTTACAGTTGTCCCAGATGCACCATATCCTTGAAAATTACTTAATATCATTAGACTTAAAAATAAAAAGTAGCAAAACATGAATCCCTGGTTTAGTTGGTTAAATAATGGTCCCTCATATTCCTAAACACTTCCTCAGATATGCCAGTGTAGAGGTATAAAATAGTGTAACACTGTGGTTTATTTATATGTATTATAAATATATATTATATATAGTAAAACCTATTCATCCTCCTATATATATTAAATCCTCTCCAGATTACTTATACTACCTAAAATGCCATATAAATACTTGTTACACTGTATTGGTTATAATTTGTATTATGTTTTATTTATGTTTTTTTTTTTCAAAATTTTTTGAGTTACAATTGGGTGAATAGGTGGATACGAATTCAACCAGCAGATACAGAGAACCCATGGATACAGAGTCAACTGTATTATATAGTATTATATATACTCTATATTATAGTAATATATTATAACATAGTATTATATTATTATATATGAAATTCCTACAGATTAAGTGAAAGACAAACAGTAGAAAAATGTGGAAAAACTCAAACAGGTGCTTCTAATATGGAAAAACACAAACGATTGGCAACATATAAATAGGCTCAAGCTCATTAGTAATCAAAGAAATGCACATTGAAACCACAGTGTTATATTATTTTATGCCTTCAGACAGGCAAATTTTTTAAGTCTAACAATATCAAGTGATTTGCAAGGATATGGTGCATCTGGGACAACTGTAAACTGCAGGTGGGAGTAAAAACTGGTGCAAACACTCTGAAAAACAATTTGAGATTATCTAGTTAAGTTGAAGGTGTACAGTCCTATAACCAGAAATTCCTCATCAAGGTAGAAACTCCCTAGAGAAATTGTAGCATATGTGTATCAGGAGCGTTGTGCCAGAGTGTTCATAGCAACACTCTCTGTACTAGAAAAAGAAATGAAAAATAACCCACCTATAATAGTAGAATAAAGCAATGTTAATATATTCCTACAAAAGAATATTACACAACAACTAAATAAATATGACTTGTAGCTACACATAACAACTTGGATAAATTTCATCATCAAAATATTTAGTTAAAAAAACAAGTGGGAGGAAAATATATACAGTATGATTCAATCCAATAAGTTTAAAAGCATGCAAAATGAATCAATATTTTAGTATACAAATATGATACCAATCAATTTTTTAAAGTATGAGAACAATAAAACCAAAAAATTCAAGACTCTCATTACCTCTGAGGAGTCAGGGAAGGAGAGAGGATTTTATAAACTAGTCAGTAGGTGTTTATGCTTCAATGTTCTTTATATCTTATGACTATTTTACCCTCTTTTATATGTACTCAATATTGAAGAGATCAAAGCTATCTTGAGTAGAGGTAAAAGAAAAATTTTTTTAGTTAAAAAATATATTTAAGGCCGGGTGCGGTGGCTCATGCCTGTAAACCCAGCACTTTGGGAGGCTGAGGTGGGTGGATCACGAGGTCAGGAGTTCGAGACCAGCCTGGCCAAAATGGTGAAACCACATCTCTACTAAAAATATAAAAATTAGCCAGACATGGTGGCCTGCGTCTGTATCCCAGCTACTCAGGAGGCTGAGGCAGGAGAATTGCTTGAACCTGGGAGGCGGAGGTTGTGGCAAGCTGAGATCACGCCTCTGCACTCCAGCCTGGGCAACAGAGCAAGATTCCGTCTCAAAAAAAAAAAAAAAAAAAATATGTATATATATATATATATATATATATATATATATATATATATATATATATATATATATTTAAATGACACTTTTAAAAATGGAGGGAGGAGAGTAGTTATGATATATCAGTTTACTGTAAGAATAATTTTGACAGATGGGATATTTTCGCATGTCAGCATCATTCAAATTTTTTATTATGTTAAACTGATTAACAGTAATTACATATAAAAAGTGGACATTCAAGTCATTCAGATAAAGCCACTACCCCGCTCTGTGGGTTTGTCAGAAGGTGTCAAGTCCTACCTTCTCAGTAGGCGTCTACACAGCCTGGCGCTGTATCCCTCTCCACCCGCCCCCTCGCAGTGTGCACTATACTTCCACTGTTCCAGCTCTTTGTCTGTCCCCAGATGGAACCATGCTTCTCCTGTTTCTGCTGCTAGGCCACAATTCCTCCAGATATCTCCACACTGGTACCTTTTTCTGCAGTTCTTGGTTCAAATGTTTCTTTGCAGAGAGACTTTCTCAAATGGCAGAGTAGTTTCTATCTTTTTTCCTTTTTTTTTTCTTTTAATGTGTGGCACCATCATTCTGAAAATATCTTATTCTTGTGATTACTTGTTTATAACTTGTTTCGTCCCCACACAGGGGCCGCGTCTCTGTTATTTCTCCAAGCACCTGGCATAGAGGAGATATTCAACAACTTTATAGAATGAGTTAATATTTTGCAGACTAAATAGTTGGGCAATAGAAGGTTGCATATATATTCTTATTTTTTAAATTGGGGAAACAGTAAAGTTCAGACCCATTCACTTTAAATATTCATCCAAAAGATATTTATTAAGCATTTAGTATGTGTCAGGCACTGCGCTGCATACTAAGAATACAGAGTGAACAGGAAGGTAGCCAGGAACCCTGTGCTGGGAATGGACAGGCCTCCAGGTGCCTAAGAAGATCAGAGTAAAATCAGGAACCAAATGATCTGGAAGCTAAGTTGCCAAAATACTGTGGGTAGGATTCTGGGCATTTTTCTTCAATAATTCTATAGTGATACCTAAAGCCAGTGTGGAGATTAAAGGATGAGACTATCAGAGGTAAGGGGAGCTTTAGGACACAAAGCTAGTCATTGCACCAATGCCAGAGTTTCCACGAGAAAGAAAAACTAAAAAGCAGCAAAACACAAGTCCCTGGATTAGTTGGTTAAACAATAGTCCCTCATCTTCCTAAACGCTTCCTCAGATATGTCATTGAAAACCCCAGCTGGGAAGACCCCTCTGAGTTCCAAGACTGACTAATGAAATGATATTTCTACCTTTGATCTGTTGCAATAAAATTAAGATGTGAGTAGAAGAGAACAGAGATATCTCTATAAAGTTCCCTGTTACAGCTCAGTCAGCCCTTTGTATCCATGGGTTCCACATCCATGGACTCAACCAACTGCAGATCAGAAATATTTGGGGGAAAAAACGGTGTCTGTACTGAACGTGTATAGATTTTTGTCCTTGTCGTTATTCCCTAAATCATTGAGTTAGGTATTATCATTATTCCCTAAATTTACATTGAGTTAGGTATTATAACTAGCCTAGAGATGATTCACAGTGTATAAGTGGATGTGCAACGGGCATATGCAAATACTACACCCCTTTTTTGTTTTTTGTTTTTTGAGACAGAGTCTTGCTCTGTCACCCGGGCTGGAGTACAGTGACGCAATCTAGGCTCACTGCAGTCTTCGCCTCCTGTGTTCCAGTGATTCTCCTGCCTCAGCCTCCCTGGTAGCTGAGATTACAGGCATGCGCCACTGCGCCCAGCTAATTTTCGTGTTTTTAGTACAGATGGGGTTTCACCATGTTGGCCAGGCTAGTCTGAAACTCCTGACCTCAGGTGATCTGCCTGCCTCAGCCTCCCAAAGTGCTAGGATTACAGGCCTGAGCCATCATGCCCCGCCAGAGCCACCACCCCTGCCTGCACCACTTTAAATAAGGAACTTGTGCATCCGTGGATTTTGGCATCCAAAGAGGGTCCTGGAACCAATCCCCCATGGATGCCTAGGGACAACTGTATTATATTAGGTTGCTAATCAATTCGTGTACACTTTACCCAGTTTTATACCATATTCAACTATTGATATTTGATTTGACATACCTGTGGCCATTTTTGAACAAGGCCATTCTGAACTAATATGTCTTGATGTGAGAGCATATTCCCTAGTGGCATCTTTGTTTCTATGGAATGCTCTGATTCAATTTATATCCCTTTGATTTATATCCTGTTTCCATCAGGGAACAAGCTCTCAGCACTAACGCCTTCTACACAGGAATGCCTCTACCATCTCTTTCAGATAGTTCAGAAGGCCCTTGAAGATCTTACACATTCTAAATACCCTGGGACACTTTCCACCATATCACAAGGTCATTACAATTGTCTGCCAGTGATAATTTTGTTCCTTAGGTTCCTTAACATTTACTCCTGGTTCTCGGTGGGTTTGTCAGCATCTCACAGGGTTGGCAATGACACCCACTATACTTCTCTCTATCCCGCCTTGGGGAATCAGTTTAACATCTTATCTCCTTGCTTGTTGGAATTGACACATCCAGCATTCAGACTGTCCATGCTACATGTAGG
The DNA here is from genome assembly GCF_000001405.40 of Homo sapiens. Classification (NCBI taxonomy): domain Eukaryota; kingdom Metazoa; phylum Chordata; class Mammalia; order Primates; family Hominidae; genus Homo; species Homo sapiens. The sequence goes on from NC_000020.11 coordinate 8,824,100, forward strand.
ATAACCAACAAACAAAATTGCGTTTTTTGAAACTTAAAAGCTCAATACCTTTATTTACTATTAGACTGCAGATTGTTGGGCCTGTAAGTAGGACACACATTGCCTAGAGTGGTCCGGCTCTGTCCTTTGCCATCTGGCTGCATGAATCAATGTCAGCTGGATACAAATATATCTCTGGAAAGGGGACATTGGGAAAAAGGGTGGATACACTAAGCATAGACCCCAGAACCTGTTCTCAGAAAAATATTTTCATGGTAAATCCTGAGATATTAAAGGACAGGTTTAAAATGCTGGCTGCATGCTTTCTCTGTCTTTTATTTTCATTGGATGCTAGAATTTGAATGGGCCCTGTTTCTGCTTTATTAATCCATATTTTGTGGCAGGAGAAATTCAGGAGAACTCAGGAATGGCAGGAAGTGGATGAGAAAGAGTGTGTGATAGAAACTGCAAGTAGCCTTAAGGGCAAAACAAGAATAATGCTACTGAGATGATGAGGCTTGCATATCCAGCTGGCTACTGTATTCTGGCCACCAGAATTGGATTTCAGCTTGGATTTTCGAGGCTTAGCAGTACAATGAGGACTGGGATTCATAAATTATAATTATAAGTGTTATTTATTAAAAGGTAGTTTTGGTCTCAGAAGGAACCAAATAATAATAATGCATGCATCACTGAAAGATAAAAATCCATAAAAAATAATTGGGGAATATGAGATAAGGGGAAAATTGAGAATAAGAATAAAAAGGTAACTTGGAGTAAGGGAGGAAAAATTAGTAAGCCAATCATAACACACACCCCATAACATCCTGGATATTGGTTGATGTCTGGATATTGAGTTCATGGGTCAACACTGGCCACAGAGGTGAAGCATCATTGGAGTAGCTTGGGCTTGCAAGGAAGGTTGGCATTATATCTCTTCCCATCCCCAGATGCCACCATAGACTCACCTACACTATCCCCAGGTCCTCATTGTACTCATTTTATTCATTCACACGTTTTTTGAATGTATTCAATATGCCAGTGACCAAGTTCTGGAGAAACCATACTTTGTAAAAAGTAGACATTGTCCCTGCTCCAGTGAAATTTACCCCCCCAAAAAAGGAGAGAAGGAACCAATAAACAAATGATCTCCTGAACTAATTGTCTAGCTACAAACCCAGACAAGTTATCTGAAAGAAAGGAGCATGGTGCCAGGAAAACCCAGACTGGTCTGAGCAAGGTAGGTATAGGGGATCGAAGATCAGGCAGAACATCTTGGAGCAAGTGATATTTGAACTAAGAGCCAAAGGCTGAGTAGGAATTAACTAGGTAAATGGTATAAGGTCTGGTAGAGTGAGAAAGAGTGTGTGGATGAAGAGAAACCCTTTCAGATACGGAGAATAATACACGCAAAGTCCCTGTGATAGGAGGGACCATGGTGTGTGCAAGGAACTGAAGAGTCATGGTAGATAGACCACAGAGCATCAGGAAAAGAATATACAATGGAGCCAGAAAGGTAGACAGAAATGAAACCCATAAAGCCTTGGCTGCTGCATTAACAATTTTGGCTTTTATCCTAATAAGACTTAAGGCTGGCTGAAGGTAGTGATATGATCAGATTTAGACTTTGAAAATATTTTTATTGATTAATGTGGGGAGCAAATTAAAGGGTAGAAGGGGCAAGCGGGTTGCAAAAGATTAGCTAGGGATATTATGTTAGTGCAGGCAAGAGACTCTGGCAGTGTGGAGTCGGTTTATGACAGTGGTGATGGACAGAGGTAGAAGGATGTGAGAAACAGGGCCTGGAGCCGGATTGGCTGTAGGATACAGGGAAAGGGAGGAGTCAAGGAATTGCCTAGACATGTGGTTTGTGCAACTGAGTGGATTTTGACTCCCATTCCTGGGCTAGGTGTCAAACTGCCAAACTGGGAATGAGGGGGAGGGAGCCATGACAGCAACGTTGGACATAGTATGACTGAGATGTTTTCAGGCATCTAGAGAAGTCATGTGGATGGTGAAATGTACCACTTTGGAATTGAGAAGAGAAGTCTTAGCTGGAGATAAAAGATTTGTGAGTCATACATAAAATGGAAGGAAAGTGGAGAGAATATAGCATGACAAAGAAAAGAAGGCCTCACCAGGCGCAGCAGCTCACATCTGTAATCCCAGCACTTTGGGAGGCCGAGGCGGGTGGATCACGAGGTCAGGAGATCGAGACCATCCTGGCTAACATGGTGAAACCCCGTCTCTACTAAAAATATAAAAAATTAGGTGGGCGTGGTGGCAGGCGCCTGTAGTCCCAGCTACTCGAGAGGCTGAGGCAGGAGAATGGCATGAACCCGGGAGGCAGAGCTTGCAGTGAGCAGGAGATCGCGCCACTGCACTCCAGCCTGGGCAACAGAGCGAGACTCCGTCTCAAAAAAAAAAAAAAAGAAAAGAAAAGAAGGCCTCAGATGGAGCCATGGAGAGTTTTCAAGGAGCAACTAGGCCTAGGATTATTCTAAACTCAGCACTAGGATTGTAAGGGCAAGTGTTTATTTTCTCACCATTAACTTAAACTTCTTCTCTATTGTTTTGTGTTACCCATGACAGAAAACTCTCACTCATCTCTCACTCTAGAATTTCCTCAGTTAACCCTAAATCATCTTTGCCAATGATGATAGAAGTTTCACTCTAAATGGGTTTAATCAAGATGAAAAATATAATCGCATCATTTTATAATGAATAAGACTTCACAGGTATGCTAAATGGTTGTTACCAAAGTCATTTAAATAATAGTGATTTTATGCGTCTGTGTTTCAGTGGTTGGCTTCTCTGGCCTTGACCTGTGAGCTCAGCATGAAGTGCTGAGATTTGATTTAAGATGACCTAGAGTTTATGTACTGTCATTTACTTGGAAATTATCACTTTGCGTATTTCAGATGACATCTCTTAGGTCAGTTTTGCAAGTTCATTATTTCAAGCTGTCTAAAGGAGGTATAGGATTTTGTAACAAGTAATTAAGGAAACCACCATAAAAGTTTAAGTTTATACTATATGATAGTTTTCATTATCCAATGCTGCATTTTTTGTAATAGACATTGAATAGGAGGGAACTATCCTTACTAAGTGGTAGGCATTTTTCCCCATGATTATTTGTTCACTGAATTTGGAAGTGATGGAATTCCAATGAAGAGCTATATCAGGATCATATGCACATGTGCAGTATAGGTATTTGCATTTGCTATGTGTGTTTCCCTGTGTTCGCGATGTAATATATAAAATCAAGACATCAACTGTTGTCTCCCCAGAGTTATGGCTATATAACTTAAGCAGCAAAGGAAAGGATTTAGGGGTCCATTTTAATGTAGGCAAGAGATAAGACCATTTTTTCAAGTTAATAGGAAAGAAAATTATGGAGCTGTACTGTCCAAGGTGGTAAACACTAGCCATACAGGGCTATTTAAATATAAATTATTGAAAAATTGAATAAAATTTAAAATTCAGTTTCTCAGTCACACTAGCACATTTCATGTGCTCAGTGTTCCCATGTAGCTAGTGGCTGTGGTATTGGACAGTGCCAATATGCAACTTTTCCACAATTACGGACAGTTCTATTGAATAGTGCCAAACAAGAACAGGGTTCAAATCCAGGCCAGTGCCTCTGTTTGCACAGCCAGTGCACTAAGAATGATTTTGACATTTTGAACGGATTGAAAAATAATCAAACGAAGAAGAATATTTTAGAGCACATGAAAATCATTTGAGATTCAAATTCTAATGTCCTCAAAATTTCTATTGAGCACAGCCATGTGCATTCTGTTATGCATTGTCTATGTGTTCACACTACAACAGCTGCATTGAGTAGTTGTGACAGAGACTTTATAGTCTGCAAAGTCTAAAATATGTACTCCCTGGCTCTTTAAGAAAAGTTTGTTAACTCTTGAGCTAAAGGGAGGAAAGGAGTAGTATCACACATTACCGTCATAAAAAATATTCTGTATAGATTTGGAAAATGAAGTCAATAAGGAGAAGGGAAAGTGTATCTAGAATTCATGCCCAGATTTGATGGCTGTGGGATATCCTGCATTGGGGGGTGTGATGGTGGATGGGTTGAAAGCTCTGGAAACGTTGGCAATAGCCTTTAACATGTATCCAAAGGCTCCATCAAACCCTCAGCTTTCTCAGTGTCTTTGCAGGTTTTTTAGGATACTCTCAAAAGCTCACTTCTCTCTGTAATTCACCATCTTCCCCATTGTAAAAGGCAAATTAAGTCCTCTCAAAAGTTTGACAATATGAAACAAGGAAATTCAGTTAGTCTCTTGACAGCAATGCCAATTATCTTCCTTTTTTTTAAACATTCTCTTAGGCGAATGCCTAAGACAATGGAAAATTATTTTGCAGTGAGACCCAAGCCAATCCAGACACAAGCTGCTCTCATTACAACCATCTCTTCTCATCTCTTGAGGATGAGCTCACTAATAAGAGTACATTATCTCTTATTGGGACAGGCTTAAATACATGCAAGAACTTCATTAAGTCATTCTCTATCAGAATAGGAGCTATTGAGAATTTCTGCAGAACTAGGATTGTGTCTTCTCTACCTATGAAATGAGTGGTGTCATGACAAAGCACTCTAGGGAGCCCTGCCAACCTATTTGATAATGTTGATGGACAAGATTGTATGGGGAGTGGGGAGAAAAAACACCTTTTATATTCTTCCCTGATGTATGTATAAGTAGTTCTTTAGGAAGAGATGAAATGCGTGGCTTTGTCCTGAATAGATTCCCTTAGGGGACACCCAGGGAATTCCTAGGCCCAGTGGAATTAATGTTCTAGAAAGAGAATCATGCTTCTGTTGCAGAGCCCCCTTCTTAATCCTCATGAATCCTAGTTAATAACACATATAATAAAGTATTCTTATTGATGCCTGTAACTTCCTTTGAAATGCACCCAAAAGGATAAATGATATAGACATATGCTAAAGCAAGTATGGTGAAATGCTACGGGTGGAATCTATGTGGTAGGTATATGGGTGTCCACTGTAAAATGATTTCAACTCTTCTATATGTGAAAAGATTTTCATAACAAAATGTTAGGGAAAAAATCCTCCTGGAATACATTTCATGTAAGCCTCTAATTCCTCAGCATTAGCCACAAGCAGAACTGTCTTCAAAGGAGTAAATCATCAGGAAAAGTCCGTGACCCCAAAAGAGTGCTGTCCAGGTTTTCTCAGGCATGGCTCAGGTTCAGGCACAAATGCAAGTTCCCAGTTCCCATCTCCTCAGTGTGTGCCCGCTGACCTCCCTGCAACAGTTCTGCCCATTGACCAGTAGGGGATAATTCAGATGAACACCTTCGTGCTTGGAATATGAGCACTTAGACTTCTAGATTTTAAAAGGATTTCTGAGCCCGATCTTTACACACATGCTTTAGTTTGTACTGTCTTTCTGTACATCCTCAGTTAAGAGATGCTTTCTGGAGTGTTTTGTAGATGGATTTGAAGACTTCTCACTGCTTCAGTACAGAATGCCCTGGCAATGCACGCCTGGAAGGAGTCCATGGACTGATATTTTCTAGCCAAAGGGAGCTAAAAATCAGCCATTTTGACATTTGGATTTTTCATTGATGTGTCTTGTTTATTTAATTCAATTTAATATGAAAGAGTAGAGAGGGTAGAACAAACTGTTCAGCAACGTATAGATCATTAGGTTTTAAAACCAAATAAAAAGTACTCAGTGTAAAAATTTGCCTGACTGAAAGGATTTTGAAATTATTCTTGAAAGCTCTGAAGCACGCAGAGGCAGCTTTGGATGTGATGGATATTTTTGCTGCATAGAGTATCCAGTGCCAAAGAGATGATTCTGTCAGAAAATATTACGAAGCCAACCTAGCTTTGATAATTGCTTCAGATTGTCTACATATATAATCCTAAATCTCTTTTCAAAGTACTTACACTACCAGTGGTCTTTGATTTATAACTGCTGGTCCAAGAGATGGCCTACTAATAATATAAAACAGGGTCTTAGCTTCACTGCGTATCGTTTCCAGAGGATGTGAATCTTAAGTCAATATAAGAGATGTGTGAGTAGGAATGAGAACTCTTAGAAATCATAGGAAGGGGTTCAAGTCACAGGGAACAGCAGATGTAGCTGGCCTAAGGCAAAGGGAACAGTGCAGGATCAGAAAGAAGTCCATTCCAATGAAAAGAGCTGAGACCAAGGGAAACCATAATGGGGCCAGAGCATGCAAGACCATTGCAAGAAGCATCAAGGGCTTGGAGCTTTATCCAGAAGACAGGAGCAGCCATTGAGAGGGCATGCTCCAGCTTTTGTTTTAGCAGAATCTCTTTGCATGTGATGTGGAAAATGAATTGGAGAGGGGAACCAGGAAACCTGTTAGGAGGCTACTTCTGTAATCCATGAAATGGCAATATTCTGCTTTTATGTCCCTGAGAAGAAAGCATAGGTAAGGACCACTGAATACACATTTGGTAGAAAAAGAATATTCCCCGGCTAAGGATTGGGAAGATAAAACAATCAGGACCACCCACCCATTACTTCATTTTCCTTTATGTATCCGATCAAGTACCCTTTCTAAAAGAAGGTAAACTTTACAGTTTTTTTTTTAATTTAAGCATCTCATTAGAACCTACTGAATATGAGTCTCCATGTACTAATTGTAGTAAAATCTCTCTGAAGGCTGGCATCAGTATGTCTGGGCAGGATGTATATTCTAGCCCAGATTTTGCATAGATGTCACAAGGAGTCCAGAATCCCTTGATTTTCAGACATAGCCATTAGAAGCACACTGATCTTCACAGGTGGAGGCCTCCACTGCCATCAGTCTATTACTGCTGCTTAAATTCACAGCACCGTGGACAAGAGGAGAAGGTAGCCTAGCTGTTTCATTGGCCCCCGCATCTCTCTGCCACATGATGGACAGCCATATCAGATTGCATTAGAATGTTGACTGCATGTTAACTGGTGATCCTTCTTCCTCTCAATACTTATTTTAAAATCACTCTAAACGCCCTGCTCTTATTACTAATTAGATTATTTGGCCTTGGTGTATAGTGTCTTGGGGTCATCAGTATGAAGGTCAAGTCACGCAAAAAGAGTGGAGTCTCCAATGTGGATACACCCAGGAGGTCACTCTCTCCCCAGGCTGTGTCCAAGTAGCATAGGGGAGCACAGGGCTCTGTCCCCATGATGTACTGTCCTTTTCCATGACATTGGAGATGAAGCTGGACCTCAACTCTGCACATGCATATTCCTACAACTTCTCAGAGTCCTGTGGATAATGACGGAGGAGAGAAACCATGCAGGAAACAGCCCCCTAGAGCACCCAATCTGGATCTAAGTTTGTCTTACATGTTTAAGAAAAATTTGCTTTAATTTATTTTACTGTATTAATTGATTAATTTTTAAAGAAATAGTGGAGTCCATCACTAAGACCTCAGGCCATACCTTAGATATTGAGATGTTGAATAAATCCCACCAGTTTATTTTATTGTAATGTGCCTCATTTTTCCTAAAAACTAAACCCCAAAATATAAAAGTTTTCGTTGTTACTTATTTATTTATTTTAGAGACAAACTCTCACTCTGTCACCCAGCCTGGAGTGCAGTAGTACAGTTGTAGCTCACCATAGCCTGAAACTCCTGGGCTCAAGCGATCCTCCCACCTCAGCCTCCCAAGTAGCTGGGACTACAGGCACATACCACCATGCCCAGCTAGTTATTTATATTTTGCTAAATGAATTTTTGAAATAAATTTCACAGATATTTCCCCATTTTCAGTTGAAATTTAATTTTCTTTCTTTCTTTCTCTTTCTTTCTCCCTCTCTTTCTTTCTCTTTCTTTCTTTCTTTCTTTCTTTCTTTCTTTCTTTCTTTCTTTCTTTCTTTCTTTCTTTCTTTCTTTCCTTCTTTCTTTCTGTGCTTCTTTCTTTCTTTCGTATTGCTCCTTGTGTAGCAGGGCTATCCCATAGGCAGGGTGCCCAGGGTAGTGAAAGTTTAATTTTCAGAGTTTTTAATGCCAGAATCCGACTTATGAATTCACTCAGTAGATATTACATGTCACTGGCATATGACCTTTTAATAGATATTTTATTGGCCTAGGAATGGTAAGGTCAGAGACTTGAGTGGTTCCACTTCTAACAGCAAAAAGAAACTATTTCTGGCTATAATAAAATTTAGCATCTTAAAATTTAAATAGAATAGTTGTTTATACTTACTCAGGGAACTGGAGGGTTATATGGGATATTTAAATAAATTGTGGAACACTTGGTCCTGAAAACTGCCCATTATAATACTTTAAACTAATTAAATTTCATTTAAAAGTTTCAAGCTTCCTGAACATCAGGGAAACGTGAAAATACAGTCATGGGTTATAGAGACTAGCATCAGGAAAAACAGCCAGAAATTCTGAACTTGGATCTCTTCGCATGTCCTTGTTCTGCTTAAGAAATTGCTTAAGAGATGACCTTGATAACATTTTAAAAATTTGAGTGCGAAGTGCAATGTATTGCCTTTCCATGGATTAGAGCACATGATAACTCTTGAGCCAGATTATAGGAATCCCTATCATAAGATTAGGAGAAGTGAGAGAAAAGAATCAGAATCGAAAGCCTGGCCCACAGGTGACTCCCTTGTCTAAAGAAAACGCTTGGTCTTGCTTTCAGCACATGGCTTCCTGAAAACGAACTTTACCTTAATAAGTAACTGTTTAAAACTTTACTTATTAATTTGAATTAGTTTGAGTCCTTAGGGAACCCTGCGAGGGTTTAGTTGTCTTGATTACAAAGGCCCACATCCCTCAGAAAGTACCCTCATGTCGGCAGCTGGACAACCTTAAGGATTGTCATTGTGGAATCACGGCACAATCCAATTTCTTATCTCACTGTTATGAGTTGAGTGGTGGTCACCAAAAAGACATGTCCTTATCCTGTTTCCTGGAACCTGTGAATGTTCCCTTGTTTGGAAAAGAGATATTTAAAGATGTTATAAAGGTAAGGATTTTGCAATGAGGAGATTATCTTGGGTCTTCCATGTGGGCCCTAAATCCAATGATGTGTGTATTAGTCTGTTCTCATGCTGCCAATAAAGACATCCCAGAGACTGGGTAATTTATAAAGAAAAAGAGGTTTAATGGACTCATAGTTCCACATGGCTGGGGAGGTCTCACAATCATGGCGGAAGGCAAAGGAAGAGCAAAGGCATGTCTTACATGACGACAGGCAAAAGAGCATGTGCAGGGGAACTGTCCTTTATAAAACCATCAGATCTCATGAGACTTATTCACTATCATGAGAACAGCACAGGAAAAACCCACCTCCATGATTCAGTTACCTCCCACTGGGTCCCTCCCATTACTCATGGGGATTATGGGATCTACAATTCAAAATGAGATTTGGGTAGAGACACAGCCAAACCATATCGATGTATGTCCTTAAAAGAGTGAGGCAGGGAGAGATTTCACACAGAAAGAAGAGGAGGAGGAGGCAATGTGTCCACAGAGGCAGAGATTGGAGTGGTGCAGGCTCAGGTCAAGGAATGGTGACAGCTACTAGGAAGTGAATGAAGCAAGGAACTGATTCCCCCAAAGGAGTGTGGCCCTGCTGACATGTTGATTTCAGATTTCTGGCCTCCAGAACTGTGAAAGAATACATTTCTATTGTTTTAAGCCACTCAATTTTTGGTAAGTCAATATAGCCGCTGTAAAAAACTAATACGCTAACAACGAATTCTGTTTCCTCCATTTATTCATACCTTCCCTAATGTCTGCTTTTCCAGGTGAAGTATCTGAAAGGTCTTTTTCCCTTCCATGCTCTTGCCCATCCTTCTGGAATATTCTCTGTGGCAGTTATGCAGACCTTTACAACCACATTTCTTGTGGGTTGTATGTGTGAAATCTTCAGAGCTCAGAAAAAAAAAATCTGATCAAAAGCAACATTTGAACTACTGAATTTCTTTCTTTTCAAGTTCATTCATTCAATATTATTTGTTGAATAAATATTCAGCAAATATTTATTGAGCATGTACTATGTGCCAGGCATTGTTCTGCATGCTGGAGAAGCCTGGGGAAGTGAGGGGAAAGATGAACAAAAATCCCTGCTCCCATTAAGTTTTCATAGGCAAGCAATACATAAAATAAAGAGGTAAAGTTATAGCATGTTGGATGTAGTAAAAAGAAACTACAGAGAATTAAGAAAGAAAGAGGGATAGGGAATAGTTTTCTGGTTTAATAGGATGATTATGGAAGACTTCACCGAGAAGGTGACCTCCAGAAAGGAGATATATCAGTCAGAGTTCCCCCGAGAAATTGAACCAATAGGAGATATTCACCCTTACATATGTATGTGTATGTGTATGAGATTTATTGCAAGGGAATTGGTTCATGTGATTATGGAGGCTGGCAAGTCCAAAATCTGCAGAGCAGATGTCCCAGTTTGAGTTCAAAAGCCACAGGCTGCTGGTCAGCACAGTGGCTCACACCTGTAATCCCAGCACTTCAGGAAGCCAAGGCGGCCAGATCACTTGAAGTCAGGAGTTCAAGACTAGCCTGGCCAACATGGTGAAACCCCATCTCTATTAAAAATACAAAAATTAGCTGGGTGTGGTGGTGCATGCCTGTCATCCCAGCTACTCGGGAGGCTGAGACAGGAGAATTGCTTGAACCTGGGAGGCAGAGGTTGCAGTGAGCCAAGTCCGCGCCACTGCACTCCAGCCTGGGCGATAGACTCTGCCTCAGAAAAAAAAAAAAAAAAAAAAAAAAAAACCACAGGCTGCTGTAGAATAAAAAAGAACCAATGTCTTAGTTCAGAGGCCATCAGGCAGGAGAATTCTTTCTTACTCAGGGGAATGTTAACCTTTGTTCTATTCAGACCTTCAACTGGTTGGATGAGGCCCTCCCACATTAGGGAGGGTAATCTGCTTTGCTCAGGCTACTGATTTAAATGCTAATCTCATCCAAAAACACCCTCACAGAAACATTCAGAATAATGATTGACCAAATATCTGCGCACTCTGTGTCCCAGCAAATTGACACATAAAATTAACCATAACAGGAGAGGAGTTGAGTGAGCCATAAGGGATCTGTGGGAAGAGTAAAATTTCTAGGAAGAGTAAATTTCAAAAGCTAAGGGCCTGGCTTGTTGAACAATGAGGCAGCAAGTGCAAGAGGGACTGAGAGCCACAGGAGATGAGTAGCAGATGAATTCGGAGTGCCCTTGAGGTGAGGCTGGTAGCAGGCTTGATAGACCATGGACATGGCTTTTTGTCTGCTTTTGGTTATTTTGTTAGACCTATTTCAGGGTCTCCACCGTTGTCACATTCTTTCCTTTTTAAGAGTATTTTTTTTTTCTGGTTATACCCATGAAACCTTATTTTAAGTCCCTAACCACAGGCTTTAGAGATCTATGCTGTATAAAAAGTAATTCATCCAATTCTATTATGACTTATATATAGCAATCTACTCATTTATGAAACAAAGAATTCCAGGCATATCTTGTTTTACTAGCCTGTCCTGAGTATTGTGGTTCGAATTCATTTGTGGACTCTTGAGTAGGGCTGTCTGTCTATAATGACAATGCATATACATGTAGAACCAGCTTATGAGAGTTTATGTTTTATAAACTGCATAATAGATTTAAAAGTTTCTCCATACATATTTCATGATTCCCACCTCAGAGGGCACAGGAAATGGTCCAAAGCAGACGACTCTAACTTAAAATGACTGACAAGGCATCTGGGTCAGTGAGCTTTGGCTGCATAACAAACCACTTCAAAACTTAGTGACTTGAAAACAAATCACTGTTGAGACAATAACCATGTTACTGCTCACAAGTCTATGGGTCAGCTGAACCTTTCTGCTGCTTTGCCTTGGGCTTCATTGATCCCAGCTGGTCTTAGGCAGGTATCTGTGTTCAGCTAGCAGATCAACTGAAGTCTGGCTAGTTGAGGATGGTCTTACCTACCTGGCTGGCAGCTGACTGGCTGGCAGTTGGGACAGCAGGAGTGACGGGGCCCTGTGTCTCTCTTCTTCTAGCAGGCTAATCAAAGCTTGCTCAAAAGCAGGAGCATAGACTTCTTAAGGCCTAGGCCCAAAACTGGCATATTGTCACTTTGACCACATTTTACTGTCCAAAGCAAACCCCAATAACTGCCCAGATTCAAGTGGGAAAGAAGTAGACTTTAAGTGTTAATAGGAGGAGCTGAAAAATAACTGTGGCCATTTTTTCAATCTATACATAATATGCTAATTAATTGTATGTGTTAACTTGACTGGTCCACAGGGTGCCCATTCACTTGGTCTGAGTCTGATGGCCTGAGAATGAGGAGAGCTGATGGGGTATTACACACACACACATACACTATTGATTCTGTCTCTCTGGAGAACCAAGACTGATACAGATTTTTGTCCCAAGAGTGGTTCTAGAGGAAGAGAATTTTTAGGATGAGTTTCCTGAATTGGTTCTGAGGTTTCTGGCATTGGTTCTCTCATCTGATTAGGTTTAACGATGCTAATAACTCTGTTTCCATTAATAAAGAGGGCACTGATAGATAGTCCGTGGTGTACTCTGTCAATAGAGATATATAAATATTACCATTGGATACTCCTAATCAACCACTTATAAGAAGCAAAGATTTTGGTGACTGTGTATATGATGCTTTTGAACATGATTGGCAAAGTAACAAATGTAAAGAGATTGGCTTCTATTGTCATCGAACAAAGAATGAGCTCAGGGTTTGAATTCCCAGGTCAAATGCTGCATACATGATCTCAAAGCTGCTATGTCTGCCCTCGAGGAGACCTTTATCTCCTATAGCCTTAGGACTAAGATCACTGAAAATCAAATGCAGGATCTCATCCTGTGACTGGCTGAACCAACACAATTTGAACCCTCAGCCTCACAAGGTGTCTACTGTTAAAGTCAGTGTATTAACTAGGAAGGAATGCGTTGCTCAAAGTTGGAATGGAGATCAGCTTCAGCCCCGATGAAGCTGAGGACATTGAGCCCCTAAATTATGATGAGGGTTCTTTGCCAGCAGAAGAGCCCTCTCCAGCCTCTTCTAAGGGGATTAATCCTGCATCACCAGAGGAAACTCTAAGGGCCTCCCTCAAGGCAGTTGCCATGCAAGATGATGCTGATTCTATTCAGGACCCCTCTTTGTTTCTAGACCTGTAACTACATTCAAGTCCAAAGAGGCCCCTAAAGGTGACGTACAAAGTGCAACTCATGAGGATTTATGCTATACTCCAAATAAGTATTAAGTATTTAAATTTTCTAATTTATAATAGAAAAGTTTGGAAAACTGTGAGGGAATGCATATTAAGAACATAGGATAATGGTAGGAGAAACACAAATTAGATCAAAATGAATTTATTGATATGGATAAAGGAAGCAGACAGCATGCATTTAATTTTGCAGCTCAGGCATTTGGAAAGTGCTGTAATAGTTTGTTTAGTCAGTTGGCTGAAACATGGGCCAGAAGGTCACCCACAGTGAGCAAGTTGGAAATGCTGAACTTCCCTTGGTTTAATGTAGAGGGAGGGATTAAATGACTTAGAGACATTGGGATGTTAGAGTGGGTTTGTCATTCAAGAATGACTCACTCACATTGGGAGAGTCCTGGAGACATACCTTTCACCATAACTGTGGGAAGTAAGTTTGTGAGGGAGTCCCAGCATCCTTGAAGAGCTCTGTGACACTCTACTCTGTAGGCCAGAACTTACAATGGAAACTGCAGTCACTGAATTGAGAAATCTAAATGTAATGGGAATAATTGGATCCCAGGGTGGCAGGGGCCAAGTGGCAGCACTCGACCGTCAAAGGCAATGTGGCCGTGATTACCATGATGAACAGTGGAGTCAGGCAGCAACCAAAATTCTCTAACTCACAGAGAACCATGGCACTGGCCAGTTGATCATGGTGTTCCTGGAAAGTAAAAGAGATAGGCTGGTGACTAAATTCTTTTTTGCTCTCTGTAAGCTGAAAATTTCTATGTCAAATAAAAAAAAAAAAAAAAGTATTACCTGAATCATGAAAGCATAGAGTCACTATCCTTCAAGGAATTCCCATACTTGAGCCAGTTTATAGACCCAAAACCCTTTCAATGAAGGGGAGGCTGAGTCTCTTTGAGGAAAGACTCCTGTATATTACTGAAAATTTATACTGTTCATCTTTCTCCCATCCTTCTCCAAATGGACCTATGGTGTTTTACCAGGTGACTATGCATTGGAGAAAAGGAAATAATCAGACCTGTTGGAGACTACTGACCACTGGCTCTGAACTGACACTTATTCCAGAAGGCCCAGTATTTCACTGTGGTCCACCAGGCAGAGTAGGGCTAATGGAGGTCAGGTGATCAACAGAGTTTTAATTCAGGTCCATCTCACAGTGAAGTTCATGAGTCTCTAAACTTATCCCGTGGTTATTTTCCTAGTCTGAAATGTATACTTGGAATAGATAAATTCCCTGACAGAACTGCTATATTGGTTCTTGTGACCTGTGGAGTGAGGGCTATTACAGAGGGAAAGGCCAAGTGGGAGCCACTAGAACTGTTTCAACCTAGGAAATTCGTAAACGAAAAGCAGTACCACATTCCTGAAGGATGGCAGAGATTAGTGCTACCATCAAGAATTTCAAAGTCGCAGGGCTGGTGAGTCTCACTATACTCCCATTCAACTTACTTGACGTGCAGAAAACTGGATGATGGAGAGTAACATGGAAAGTTTAACCAGGTGGTGACTCCAATTGCAGCTGTTGTACCAGATGTGGTTTCATTACTTGAGCTATTCCCTGGTACTTGGTATGCAGTTATTGATCTGGCAAATGCCTTTATTTCCATCCTTGTCAATAAGGCTCGTGAGAAGCAGTTTGCTTTCAGCTGTCAAGGCCAGCAATACACCTACACCGTCCTACATAAGGGGCATATCAACTCTCCAGCCCTATGTTATAATTTAGTTCACAGGGATCTTAATTGGCTTTCATCACTAGTCCATTACATAGATGACATTATGCTGATTGGACCTAGTGAGCAAGAAGTAGCAACTACTCTAGTTTTATTGGCAAGACATTTGCATGTCAGAGGGTAGGAGATATATCTGACAAAGTTTAGGGACCTTCTACCTCAGTGAAATTCCTAGGAGTCCAGTGGCGTGGGACATGTTGAGATATTCTTCTGAAGTGAAGGATAAGATATTGCATCTTGCCCCTCCTAAATCAAAAAAGACGGACAATGCCTAGTGAGCTTCTTTCAATTTTTGGAGGCAATATATTGCTCATTTGGGTGTGTTACTCCCACTCATTTATTTAGTGACCCAAGAAGCTGCTAGTTTTGAGTGGATCCCAGAACAAGAGAAGGTTTTATAACAGGTCCAGGCTGCTATGCAAGCAGCTCTGTCACTTGGGCCATATGATTCAGCAGATCCAGTGGTGTCTAGATTTAATATTATGTGTCATGTCCCAATAAAGCTTGGAAGTAGATCTTAACACCATTGCCATCACCCACCCACACACATCCCTACAAGTGAAGAAACGGAAACCTCAAAGCAGGTAAGTGACTGGTCACAAAAATCACAGGTAATAAAGCCAGGAATCAAACATTATCGCAGCATGCTAGAAAGCCTATCTGCTTTTGATTTCTCAGTCACATTATTTTTTAGTAATTCTTAAAAAAAAAAAAAAAAAGCCTTGGCCAGGTGCGGTGGCTCACGCCAGCACTTTGGGAGGCCGAGGCAGGTGGATCACCTCAGGTCAGGAGTTTGAGACCAGGCTGGCCAACATGGCAAAGCCCGGTCTCTACTAAAAATACAAAAATTATCTGGGCGTGGTGGCACATGCCTGTAGTCCTAGCTATTTGGGAGGCTGAGGCAGGAGAATCGCTTGAACCCAAGAGATGGAGGTTGCAGTGAGCCAAGATCGCGCCACTGCACTCCAACCTGGGTGACAGAGAGAAACTCTGTCTCAGAAAAAAAAAAAAAAGCTTGTGTGGTGGACTCTAACCTAATCAGGGCTGATTTATATGTTGTTTTTTTCTCACATATTTTCCTCAATGTTCTGTTCATATCACATAGAATCACTGAGAATTCTTCTCTGACATTCACAGGGCCCCTAAGTACTGCTTCACAGACTGAACTGAAGCAATATTAATGGGTCTCTTCCTAGATAAGCCCAAGCCTCAAGCATAGCCCTGCGCCTCAGTCAGCCAATCTAGAAATAGGGCAAGCTTCTAAAGATGAAAGGGCACAGTCTCTGCTTTTAGTAATCTCACTAGGGCAATATAGCCAAGTGGAATGAAGAGATGAGACAAGGGCTAGACTGTGTGACATGGGCCATAGGTTGACAGAAGCTCCAAAAATAGAGTGAGTGCTCTGAGGAAGCTACACAGTAGCAAGAACATGGTGAGCTGGGTGGAAAACAATGAGTTAGGTCTTGCAGGATGCCTGGCAAAGGTGGGACGTCTGTAGAGGGACTGGCTTGAGCAAATGGTCTCAGAACAAGCTGTGGATTCCCTCTTTTAAAGTTCCAGACTTTCATAACTTCACTTTGGCCTGCATGCTTTCCTTTTGGAGGCAATATCTTCATAAATGCCATAAGAGGAAATTCAACACAGAACCCTCCACTGATTTCATTTTCTATTTGAATTTGGCAGAGACCCCTTTAAGACCGAATCTCATCAAGAAAAATATAATCTGAGCTACATATTGTACTAAATCACTTCCCCCCTTTTTAAATTTGAAATCAGCTTTTCTTTTATATATATTTATTTTGAGATGGAGTTTTGCTCTTGTCACCCAGCTGGAGTGCAGTGGTGCGATCTCAGCACACTGCAACCTCTGCCTCCTGGGTTCAAGTGATTCTCCTGCCTCAGCCTCCGGAGTAGCTGGGATTACAGGTGCCTGCCACCACACCCAACCAAAATACAAAAATACAAAAAAAATTTTTGTATTTTTAGTAGAGATGGTGTTTTACCATGTTGGCCAAGCTGGTCTCGAACTCCTGACCTCAGGTGATCTGCCCATCTTGGCCTCCCAAAGTGCTGGGATTATAGCTGTGAGCCACTGCACCCAGCCATCAGCTTTTATTTCATATGCATGCATAGCATCCTACAACAATAACTTTAAAAAAAATAAGTCATCACCATTTTCTATGATTGCAACCTATATAGAGAAATAGCCTGGTGTTATCCTACAAGACAATTTCCTTAAAATGTGTGAGTAATGGCTATTAAATCATTTTATGGAGCCATTTCTAAAATAATACTCTTTGTCACTGTTACCATAATTACTTTTAGTTGTGGCCATATTTTAAAGAACAGAATGCTTTATCGTGACTGTTATAAATACAAATTATTTTTCCCCTTGTGGGAATCATCAGGCTAATTTGTTTACCATTTTCCTTCTAAAACAGATCATTATTAAAAGGAAATCAGTACAATGATTGTGATTAAGATCAACAGCTCTCTTAATTCTTTGTTCTGTTGAATATCAAGTTTTTTCTGCCTTCCTACCTCTGTCTTTCCGTAAGACAAATCCTTTTGCTGGCAAGGGGTATATGTGTGCATGCAACTCCTGACTTATATCTCCACTCTTACACGTGTGCTAATTGATCTTAAAATTAAAGTCCAGGATGCCAATGAAGGAAATAAGCTCTGAACCACGCAGGTCACAGTTTCTGTTGGTTGTATTTGTGTCAGGGAGCTGTCAGACTCTGCAGTTTGAAATTTAAGTTCTCAATGGACTCTGAGCGCATATCCTTGATGTGTGATTCACACCTGTGGTATCATCATGGGGTCATTTTATTGAAATGTTGAACTTGTTTGCAGGGGCCTTAATTCTTTAGCTTTCTGCAAAACCTAGTTATGTGATGTGTTCTCTGTTTGGGGATAATAGAGAGTAAATGGAAATAAGACATTAACATTGCCCAACCCCTATTATAGTTGGTGTTAATAATCTTTGCCTATAGGTTTGGAAGTACCTTGGCTTATATAACCACTATTCAGATAAAACAAGGAAATGATGACATCAGTGTAAGATTGAATGAGATTTGACCACTGCACATGCCATGCTTTGCAATAGTCTAAAAACCTGGACAGAATGATCAGAACCATCTAACTCAAGCCCAGGGATAAGCAAACAATCAGTAAAAAATGCTTACATAGAAAGCGCATGATATTTTAATATGAATTTTTAATATTTAATTAATTTTAGTGGCTATTGTCTACCTTTTATCAAATAAACAGCTATTTATTATTAGAACTTCTTGCTAATGATTACTGATTTTGACTGTTTGTAAGTCTAGCCTTACAATTTATTCAGAAGTGTGGTTTTAAACACATAAAGTGCTTCATGGCAATGCAAAATCTTCTACTGAAGTGTTTTGTATTATTTCGATTTGAACTTAAGAGATTATGTGGATTCTGTACGTAATAGGTTTTATTCATAGACTTGATAGTGTAGCAGGACGAGCCGCAGACAAGAACCCCTCAGACACCGAGTTGTAGAAGGAAAGGGCTTTATTCAGCTGGGAGCATCGGCAGACTTATGTCTCCAAAAACTGAGCTCCCGGAGTGAGCAATTCCTGTCCCTTTTAAGGGCCTACAGCTCTAAGGGGGTATGAGTGAAAGGGTCATGATTGATTGAGCAAGCAGGCGGTGCGTGACTGGGGGCTGCATGCACCGGTAATCAGAACAGAACAGGACGGGATTTTCACGATACTTTTCCATACAATGTCTGAAATCTATAGATAACACAAGCAGTTAGCTCAGGGGTTGATTTTTAACTACCAGGCCCAGGGCGCGGTGCTGGGCTATCTGCCTGTGGATTCCGTTTCTGCCTTTTAGTTTTTACTTCTTCTTTCTTTGGAGGCAGAAATTGGGTATAAGACAATATGATGGGTGGTTGCCTCCCTTAATAGTTAAATGATTTGGCAATAACAACAGGCCGAAATATAAAAGAGAAAAATTTAGGTTGGTGCAAAAGTAATTGCAGTCTTTGCAATTGAGAGTAATGGCTAAAACCACAATTAGTTTTGTACCAAAATATGTATTTGGATATATATTCTTTAATTGATGTTAACTTACACATTAAGTTTTTAAAATATTAGAAAACCTACAAAATCTGGGTTGAAAATGAGTATTTGAACTTGAAGCATGGCAACCTTTCACCCATTTTGTTTTACCAAATTGTAAATAAATCATAACCTGGTACCATCACCTAGACAGAAATTTTGTGGAATATCTACACTATAAATAATGGAACCCCTGTAAAGTAGTAACTATTTCAAAGTTAGGATCTCCTGGCTTTGGCAAATTTTATTTTTGTGAAAATTAAAGTTGGGCATTGGCAACCCAATACCTTTTAGTGTTCCACTAGAACAAAATTAAATATTAGGCCAGTAATTTGATGCAGTGGTATCCAAACTTTTCCATTTCATGCCCTAAAAATTAGACACTCACAACCCCCATCATAGGCATATTCACTTATTTGTGTGTTCATTTTTACGTTGTAGGTATTACTAGACTAACACATGTGTTCATCATAAATGAATGTATAATATATATATTTTAAATGATAAAATATAAATAATGAGAAAGAATAAAGATGAAAATAATGTTTTATTTTGTTTGTTAATGATTCAAAACAAATCTTTGCCCTCCATATAGAGAGTCCATGTGTTTGAATAGACTTTATTATTTTCAAAACTCCTCACTTAACACTTTGATACAGGAATCCAAAACTCTGATCTTAAGTTTGGATTTTCTTTTCCATATTTGGTTTTAATGGCTGTCACTGCTGGGGAAAAAAAAGATTCCTCACACAGATTTGAAGATTAAAATGGAAGGTGTGCATCCTTTGCCGAGGCTACTGCTTCATTACACTCCTTTTATTCATTCCCATCTACCAGTTGTAAAGGTTTGACTTTCTGATGGATGCTTAATTTTTAAGTGCCTGCTAATTACAATGGCTTGCCACTTTCATTAACATGCCATACACTTAAGGCAAAACTCACTGTTAGCTGTGAGAAAGTAAATACATATTTCAAACAGTCTTCTTCATAAAATTACTTTTTAAATGGATTCTCCTGCAATATCTGATTGTTTTCACCTCAGAATGTAGGAAAGGAGAAAACGTCAGCTCTCAACTCTGCCGTTGTCCTTTTGTTTGCCGTTGGCACAATTGCTAATGTGGTTCATCTCAATGTCTTTGCAGGGTTTAGTCCATTTGGTGAGGGTTTGTTTGGTTAAAATAGATAAGGTAGCCTGTAAATCCATTGAATCTGAGCATGTGTACACTGAATGTGTTGAAACAAGCTGAAAAGTCATCGTATAAGCAAGGGCACCACTGTCCAAGCCCTTGAACGTGTGGGACAGGCCAGGTTCCATGGCTAATGCCTGTAATCCTAATGCTTTGGGAGGCTGAGCCAGGAGGATCACTTTAGTCCAGGAGTTCAAGGCATTGAGCTATGATTAGGCCACTGCACTCCTGCCTGGGTAACAAAGTGAGACCTGGTATCAAAAAAAAGGACGGGGGAGGGGAAAGGTGTGGTGCCCTCTTCTTTCCTCAGGTCTCAAGCCCTGTAAGTCACTAACAACCTTTTAACAAACTAATGTGGTGCCAGTGTCAATAGGTATGAGTAAAGCTAATTTCCCTTACAAGTGAAATTCTAGTACACTTTTCCCATAATCCAATAGATCATCTTTCCTTTTATCCTCTGAACATATGCATGCATCTTAAAAGACTACGGATTTAAAGTACTAGATTAGGCCAGGCACGGTGGCACACACCTGTAATCCCAACACTTTGGGAGGCCGAGGCGGGCGGATCACGAGATCAGGAGATTGAGACCATCCTGGCTAACATGGTGAAACCCCATCTCTACTGAAAAAAAATACAAAAAATTAGCCGGGTGAGGTGGTGGGCGCCTGTAGTCCCAGCTACTCGGGAGGCTGAGGCAGGAGAATGGTGTGAACCCGGGATGGGGAGCTTGCAGTGAGCCGAGATCACGCCACTGCACTCCAACCTGGGCAATAGAGCAAGACTCTGTCTCAAAAAAATAAATAAATAAAATAAAATAAAGTACTAGATTATGTTTTTCTTCCCAATTAAACAGATCATGAGTTCTTTTGGTGACTAGGGTGTTGTGGCATTTTGGAGGCAGGAAAGATACAGGAAGTTCCCATGCTATAAGCCTTGTCTCTTTGAACATATCTAAGCATATTAGATCTGTTAATTTTTGCTTCATATAGTTTGAAGGTATAATTATTGGGTGTATACATTTTTAGTATTGTTTCTCAAATACATTGATCTCTTTATTATGAAATGTTCTTTCTGTATTTTCTTGCCTTAAAGTAATGCTGTTCGATACAGTAGCCATTAGCCATGTGCTTATTTAAATTTAAATTAATTAAAGAAAAATATAAAAATTCAGCCCCGCCTTTGTGCTAGTCACATTTCAGATGCTCAATAGGGCTATTGGTTACCCTATGGGATAGCACAGAGAACATTTCCATCATTACAGAAAGTTCTATTGGGTCGGGCTGCCTTAAGGCTACTTCATCTAATATTAAAACAACTATATCAAGGGTTTTTTTGGTTGACAATTATATGGAGAATTAAATAAATCCTGAATCACAGATGAAGATTTTAGCATATCCCTCTCTGTTACTAACAAAATAAGCAGGAAGGAAAAAAAAAGAAAATCACTAAGCACACAGAGGATTTGTTTAACACAATTAACCAACATAATATAATTCACATATTTAATGCATTACATTCAACAGTTATATAATACAATACGCATTAAGTACGCAATGCGGACACATTGGAAGATACACCTGGCTGCCAAGTGTCCTGTAGGGAGGTGTTGATTGTAGAGACACACAGCAGGGGCTATATAATTCCATAATCAGGAAACCCAGCAAAACTGGTATCACACGAAGGAATTGCAACTATTGTATTAGTCCATTCTCACACATCTATAAAGAACTACCTGAGAGTGCGTAATTAATAAAGAAAAGAGGTTTAATTGGCTCTGCAGCCTGTACAAGTAGCATGGCTGGGGAAGCCTACAATCATGGCAGAAGGTGAAGGGGAAGCAGGCACTTCTTACATGGCTGGAGCAGGAAGAAGAGAATAAAGGGGGAGGTGCCACATACTTTTAAACAACCAGATCTCATGAGAAGTCACTCACTATTATGAGAACAGCAAGGGAGAAATCTGCCCGCATGATAAAATCACCTCCCAGCAGGCCCCTCCTCCAACACTGGGGATTACAATTCAACATGAGATTTGAGGGAGGACACAAATCCAAACCATATCACCTATGGTTTGGGTTTTGGTAGCACAACACTGGTACAACCTACTACTCAGGGATCCTCAAACTTTAATATGCATGCTAATCAACTTGAGGTTCTATTAAAATGCAGATTTTAATAGAGTAGGTCTAGGTGCACTTTGTAACAAGTACACTTTGTTACTGACTTTAAAACGAGCTCCCAGGTCATGCTAATGTTACTGGTCCGTGGACCACACTTTGAGTAGGAAGATTCTAACTCAAAAGCCCAAACTAGTAGCTTAAACACCAAATCATGACAGAAGCTGTTTCCCCTGGCTTGTATCATATTGATTAACACAGTAAAGAATTAGCTGCTGACATGTACAAAGTGTGAAGTTTCACATAAGCATAAGCACCTGAAGCGTCTCTTGAAGTCTGGGAAGATCCGGCCAGGGCAAGTCTGCTTCCATACATGGTCCATACAAAAGTCCACTGGAGCAGAGTAGAGGCCACTAGCTTTCGAGAGCCCATGATTTATCCTTCACCATAAGTCCCACCTCCACTACACTGACACCTTGCCAACCATCCATCTCACTTCTTTATTTGCCTTTCTAACCTTCTGAGACAAGGACTCTCAACCTAAGCTAAATATTGGAATCAGAGGAGCTTTGAGAAATACTGATGTTTTGGTCTCAGCCCCAAAGATCTTGATATGGTCATTTCAAGGGGTGGGAAAAGCCTGGGCATTTTAAAAGCTACCCAAGTGATTCTAATATGAAGCCAAGGTTGAAGACTTCTGTTTAAATCAATTTAGTGACACTAGCAAGATTCTCACACACCATCCTCAGACATTCTGATTCTGAAGCTCAGGATCACCACTTCCTAATATTTGCAGGATCTGAGACAAAAGAAAGCTCTCAATCTATAGCCTTTCACCTTGTCTTTCTACTTCCCACCCACTCCTATACTTTCTTGCACCATGAAGAATCTTCTGTATATAGAATTAGACACACATCCAAGATCTGTCCTTACTCCCTTTCAAACACCCAGCCCTTGGTCACTCTTGAACTTAGACCTTTGCAAAATGACTGCAAGGTCTGCCATTAGAGGAAGAGGAAGAGGGCCTAAAAAGGGGTCTTGGGGCCAGTTGGGAAGGGAATTTTGGTATCTTGTTGAAGTGTTTTCTGACACCAATCTCTTCTCCAACATCGGCTGAATGTCGAACCATTCAATTCAATTTTGATGCACCTGGATTTAGGGCAGACCCCACAGCTTAAGTCCCACAAGACTGCCCCCACTTCAGGTGCCAGTTGCAAGACTTGGACCACCCATACTTCTGACCAACCAGCTGTAAGTCAGAGGTTCCCACAACACTGTCCTCAGCTTCAATAATTTACTAGAACAGCTCACAGAACTCAGAAAATCCACTTTACTTACATTTAGATTTACAGTTTATCAAGAAGGATACAGATCAACAGCCAGATGAAGAGGTATATAGGGTATCGTAGTCTGCTTTGTGCTGCTATAACAAAATGCCTGAGACTGGCAATTTATACGAACAGAAATCTATTTTCTCACAGTTCTGGAGGTTTGAAAGTCCAAAATCAAGGCGCCAGCAGGTTCGGTTGTCTGGTAAGGGCTGCATCTTCCAGAGGGGAGGAACGCCATGTCCTCACATGATGGAAGACAGAAGAGCAAGAGAGACCAATGCTATCAAAAGCCTTTCTAAGGACCTTAATCACACTCATGAAAAAGGGCCCTCTTGACTTAATCACCTCTTGTTTGCCCCACCTGTTAATACCATCACATTGGCCATTAAGTTTCAACACTTTAACTCTAGAGGGAACACATTCAAATCATAGCACAGGACAAGGTCTGGAAGAGTCCCAAGAACATGAGCTTATGATCCTACGGAGTTAGGGTGTGCTGCCCTCCTAGTTCATGGATGTATTCACCAACCTGGAAGCTTTACATCATTATTTAAGAGTTTTTATAACTCAATCTTTAGCTCTCCCACCAGGTTAGTGAGGGAGGCTGAAAGTTCCAACCCTCCAGTCAGTTGATCTGTCTGGTGATCACCCCTATCCTGAGGCTCTCCAGGGGCCCTATTCTAAATCTACTTATTAACATAAATTCAGATATGATTGAAAGGGGTTTACACAAGGCCTCCTTATCACTGTGAAAAACCCAAGCGTCTTAGGAGGTCTATGCCAGAAACCTGGGACAAAGACTAAATATATTTCTTATATCACATCTGGGTACCCCAGCATTAGGGAGGCCATGTCTCCATGTGCAGGAGTCATAGTCTTGTGTACTAAGCTACTCACCTCATGAGGAGTGTGTGGATGAAGGAGGGCTGGGGGGCCATGAGGGCCCAAGGGATGGGCCTGTCTTGCCCACATCTGGAAGTCCGGGATGAGGACTGAGACTCTCTTTGTAGCAGGTTCCCCCCAGTGATTCTGATGTCAGTTGTCCACAGGGTGCACTTAGAAAGACAAACTCTGCAGAAGGATCAGAGCTAAAGAAGAATAGCTTCCCCTCTTTTCTCTCTGCTGCCTAACATTTCTTAGTACTAGTCAGAGCTTGGGAGCCACACTTGGAATTTCAAAAGAGGAATTTTTCATGCTTTTCTAAATGGATTGCATTTTGGGGGCTTGGAAGCCAAACACTTAGAATCTGTAAACAGTTTGTCCTGGGAGAGAATGGCTGCAGGCTTTCAGAACAAGAGAGGGAAATTTAGGCTGACTGCACCCTCTGCTTCTCAAAGCTCTTTCTGCTAAAATGCTATAGTTATATGTGGTCGTAGAAATAAAAGAGAAGCCAAACACTCAAGTGGGCACTGCTTCCCATTTTTTGACTAATGAGAGATTATTCAAAATCTTGATATTGAGTTCTTACTACCTACCCAAGCACTGAGCTGTCTTCTGTAATCATCCACAATATCTATGATGTCAGCTCCATCATTATCATTTTATGTAAGGAAACTGAGATGCAGACTGGCCACTGGCTCAAGCTCATACAACTATTCACTGACAGAGTTAAGAACCAAGCAGGGCCGGGTGCGGTGGCTCACACCTGTAATCCCAGCACTTTGGGAGGCCGAGGCAGGCAGATCACCTGAGGTCAGGAGTTCGAGACTAGCCTGGCCAACATGGCAAAACCCCATCTCTACTAAAAACACAAAAATTAGTAGGGCATGATGGTGTGCGCCTGTAGTCCCAGCTATGTGGGAGGCTGAGGCTGGAGAATCGCTTGAATCTAGGAGGTGGAGGTTGCGTTGAGCCGAGATCATGCCACTGCACTCCAGCCTGGGTGACAGAACAAGACTCCATCTCAATAAAATAAAATTAAATTAAAAATTAAAAGAAAATATAAAAAAAAGAACCAAGCAGGGCTGAGCGCGATGGCTCATGCCTGTAATCCCAGCACTTTGGGAGGCCAAGGTGGGCGGATCACGAGGTCAAGAGATCGAGACCATCCTGGCCAACATGGTGAAACCTCATATCTACTAAAAATACAAAAATTAGCTGGGCATGCTGGTGCAGGCCTGTAGTCCCAGCTACTTGGGAGGCTGAGGCAGGAGAATTGCTTGAACCCAGGAGGCGGAGGTTGCAGTGAGCCGAGATCACGCCACTGCACTCCAGCCTGGCGACAGAGCAAGACTCCGTCTAAAAATAAAAAAAAGAACGAAGCAGCCCGGCCCTAGAACTCATGTGCTCTAAACCACTACTCTAAACCAGCTCTTTAAAACACGTAAGTGTAAATGTGCACAGATTTCAATTTAGAGCTGTGTGACTCCCAGCAGATTTCTTTTTTCTTGAGCAAAGGAGATGCCACTGTGAATATTAATGTCTGTCATAGCCAGAGCAGACACTCTTCAGCTTTTGGGCAAACTAAAATGCTCAAAAATACCCACAGGCACAACATTTTCTAATCGTGCTTCCAGAGCCAGGCAGTGTGTTCATGCATGTAAGACGCTGTATAAATGTAGGTAGTAGCACCAATAGTGCTCATGAATTATGGATGAAGAGGAACATCCAGAGTCAAACATTCCTGAGAAAGCAGACCAGGCTCCCTTTACTGGGTTAGGAAAAGATAAAAGGCTAAACTTCCCAAGGCAGTTGACTGGTGATTTTTCATTCTAACATCCGAAAAAATAGGAATAAAGTTGCTATGGTTTGAATATATGTGTCCCTTCAAAATTCATGCTGAAATTTAATCCCTAGTAAAACAGTATTAAGTGAGGACTTTACGAGGTTTAGGTCATGAGGGCCTTACCTCCATGAATGGGGATAGTGCCCTTATAAAAGGGCTTGAGGGAGCCTGCTTTGCTCTTTTTGCCCTTCTGCCATGTGAGGACACAGCAAAAAGGTATCATCTTGGATGCAGGAGATGAGCCCTCACCAGACGCCAAATCTTCTGGTGCCATGGTCTTGGAATTCCCAGCCTCCAGAACTGTGAGAAATAAATTTCTATTAATTATAAATTACCTGGTCTAAGATATTATGTTATAGCAGCAGGAATGAACCGAGACAGCAGCCTATTTCAGAAGCCTGTCTCTGATGCTCCTATTCCAACCAAAATCTTTAAGCCAGAGATCGCAACCAGTAACCTGGCTGAATAATCCACAAACATGGTTTATTGTACTCACACATTGTTATAATGTTTTTTTCTTAGTGTTCTTTCATCTTCTTGTTGAACAGGATGCCAACTTTAAAAATAAGGAGATATCCTTTAAAAATGTTTCCTTGCTTTAATTGAAATATTCAAAGACCTGGCTCACTGGGGCCATGTTCCAATGGACTTGGCAGCAATTAGCTGGATCTGAGGAGTGGAATCCCCGATTAGATGACCTTGTGTGCTCCCTTTAGCCACAGTCACCATCACTGTTTGTTACCTTATACTCACATACCACCACTGACTACCACCAGTGCTTTTCACTCTTTTTCTTTACCTCTCTTCCTCCTAAAGTCATTTGCATTTAATAACTGCTAATTTCCTGTTATTCAAGGTCCCTAGCAATTTATGATATATGTGTTTGCTTATATAAACTTGCTTCAACAGGCCACAGTAGCCTAGGAGGTAGTCATTGCTTGAAGATTTATACTGGGCTGCAAAATAACCCTGAGTGTCTACTCAACTTTCAGTTCGAAGTGCCTTATCCTGTATGGTAGTGGGTTACTTTTTGCATGCCAACTCCATCATATGGTAGCAGATGCCTGGGACTTTTTGTTGATAAGGATTCCAAGGCTATCTAGATGGCCTGGAAGTACCACTAAGATTGATTAGTGATGTCTGCCATAGTCACCCCAGCTGCTGCTATCCATCAGAAGTCATCAGCCCTGTGCTTCCATCTCCATTTCTTTTTTTGGTTTTTTTTTTTTTCATTTTTTTCATTTTTTTTCATTCTGAGTGTCATCATTTAGGAGACTCACACAAAAGTAAGAGAATCTTTCTAGGGAAATGTTCTCTTTTCTTTGCTTGAACTGAAGTTGCAATTTAGAGGCAGTTACCCTTAACCCTGGCATCTTTTTCCCCCAGTACAAGTGTTCATAGAAGCACCACATGTAACAGGCAAAAACTGGAAACAACCTAAATGTCCATCAACAGTGGCATGGGTAAATGAAGTGTGGTGTATTCACATACTTTATAGCAATTTTTAAAAACCCGACTACAGCTATCTACAACAACAAAAAAAGAAGCCAGATGCAAAGAACTATAGACTGTATGACTGTTTATATAAAGTTGCAAAATAGGCTGCTGTCTCAGTTCATTCCTGCTGCCAGGTTTTATCTCTGCCTCCTAATTATTCTGTCATTTCAGCCACATCTGGGGTTACTAAGTGTCATTTCTAAATTGTACCTACTGACATTAGCGAATATCTTTTTGCTGGTCTCCCAAAAGAAAGATCCATCATTTTTCTAACTCCTAATTGAAGAACCTAAGAAAATTGCTGTGTTACAAAGTGTTCCTTTTCATCAACCACAAAACAATCCTCCAGGACAGAGTTGAGCAAAACCAATTCTGTCCAATCCAGTCTGAGTCTAATGACAGAAACTACTCTGAGTTACCTTATTCCTGATATTCCAGGACTGACATCAGGGCCTCTGTCCCAAGAAGTGGAGGAAGGCAGAACTCCCACTAGCCATATCCCAGCCTCCTTAAGATGGGCCTGTGGTCCTGGGAAATCTGCTCTTCTAACCTTTCCTTTGTCCACAGAAGCCACATCAGTAGAGGGTCAGTTACAGACAAGGGGCACACAGTGAATAAGGAGGCACTCACTTCTTGGATTAATTGGCTTAGTGTGAGAAGGCTCACTTTTACATCCTAAGATTGGAAAGTGCCAGAGGCCCCCACAAATCTCCAAAAGCATAGTTTGCTCTCCAATTTTCTCAACTCTTTCCCGGTTTGTAATGTTTATTGTTTTCTTATAATATTTACCAACCATCTTACCTCACCAATGCTAGATCCTACAGGTAACAGAAGCACAGTATACCAGAATGATCACATCCAATAGCCCCTGGCTGGCTCCAGGTGTCATGAAGTGACCTCTGATTTTGTTACTGCCCCTGAGTGGTGGCCAGAAGTTACATTATGTCAGTTTACAGTGTGGCAGCCCCCATATCCATTGGGGACATGAGTGTCAGGCAGGTCAGGTGAGTGTCACCACCTGGAAAGTGGAAGCATCTCTAAAAACAACTTCCACAGAATGCATGAATTTACAGATGATATGAAAACATGTGCATATTGAATTTTCTGAAAAATGGCTTATCACAAAATTTAAAAAAAGTATTTATCAAAGGAACTTTGGGCACATAAGGAAATAAATCCAATAGTATGCTCATGACAATTAGTTATATAAATAAAATAAAGTAGGTTATTAGTCCATATAAGATAGCCTCAGGAAAAAATTAAATGCCCAGATAAAAAGTATGCAGCTTGACAAATTTTTACAGAATTTATGAAATTACCACTTGTGTCAAGATACAGAACATTATCAACACCCCAGAAACTTCCCTCGTGCTCCAACCCAGTCAGTACTACCTCCATCCGGAAGTAACAGCTATTCTGATGTCAGTCAACACAGAGATTAGTTTTTCTGTTTTGCAACTTTATATAAACAGTCATACAGTCTATAGTTCTTTGCATCTGGCTTCTTTTTTTGTTGTTGTAGATAGCTGTAGTCGGGTTTTTAAAAATTGCTATAAAGTATGTGAATACACCACACTTCATTTACCCATTCCACTGTTGATGGACATTTAGGTTGTTTCCAGCTTTTGCCTATTACATGTGGTGCTTCTATGAACACTTGTACTGGGGGAAAAAAAATGCCAGGGTTAAGGGTAACTGCCTCTAAATTGCAACTTCAGTTCAAGCAAAGAAAAGAGAACATTTCCCTAGAAAGATTCTCTTACTTTTGTGTGAGTCTCCTAAATGATGACACTCAGAATAAGACGCTTTCTTCTCCTTCCACAGTCCCCTGTGCTGAGGCATTTTATGTGATTGTGTGTGTAAGCTTCAAAGCGTTATTCAACAAAGAAGCGCTGTTCTCCCAAGCTCTAACCATTTACTCGTAATGGGCATATGGTATTTCGAGTGCTGTACTTTACTATTTCACCACTAGAGGGCAAGAGGAGCCCCACAATGCTTGACATTGCCAGATCTGCAGTCAAAATGATTAATCATGAGGCAAAAACAAGAAGCCAGAGGGAAAAAAGGAAGAGCTCACAAAGGCAAAATAAACATCCATAAACTTAAACTTTCCTGGGTAGGGAAGATCTGAAAAATGTCACCCATGAGCCACTTTCTAACACTCGTTCCATCTTTCTTTTTCCAGTGTGCAAAACTCAATTGCACAGTCCTCAGTTGCTGA